>NC_000003.12:123705574-123857089 GCF_000001405.40 Homo sapiens
GATGAGGCTGGATAACTTCTGAAGCCCCTTCCTGCTGGGACAGTCTAAATTTTATGACTGTCCCCAGCTGGCCCCAGACAGTCTGCCTGCCGACCTCCTGGTGCACGCCTCCTCTCTGGCCTGGCAAACTTCCCACAGCCCTTTGCTTGGCTCTGCCCCCACCCCACCCTTTCTTGCTCGGCCTACTCAACAGCTAAGCCTTATCACATTTGCCAAGATTCAGCCTTCCTTTTCCATCAAAATCCCCAAACAAGCTCATCTCCTCTAGGATGTCTGGCTTGAGTAATGTAAGTATTATCTCAAAGTGCTACTCCTTCTATACTGACGAGATCATCAGCAGGTATTTTTACACATCATCGGTTTCCATTCTTTGTACTGACCTAGGGGGTAAGCGTGTACCTTCTCCCCATTTTGGAGGCAGAGTGGCCTTCCTGGTAATAACTAGTTCAAGCATAATGCAAAGGCAGTTGATGCATTCTGAGTGTACCGCTAATAATAGTAGGGGGACCAGCAGCTCACAAGCATCCCATCACTTGACCACAACAGACATGTCATTGAGCTCAGCTGAGATTAGCCTTGCCTAAATCAGCAGAACTTTATAGGAGACCCAAAGACTCCTAAGAAATAATGAAACTGCTTTAAAAATAAACGAGCTATTTTTAATAGTTATTAAGTATTGGGGTGGTTCGTTATGCAGCAAAAGATAACTGATTCAGGTATAAAGCACATGGTCACAAAGGACCTAAGGGGATGGGGTACATATTGGGTTTTGCAGTAGCCTTGGCATTTAGCTCTAGAGCTTATTTGTAGCTCAGAGCTGTGAACATGATGGGCTCAGCATGGGGAGATGATAAAGTACAGGCGAGAAAGCCCCTTGCAAAGTGGTCAGGCACCCGGGCCAGGACAGGTCTAACCATCCTCAGGATGTGGCACGACCTCCTATTTGTAGGTTAGGTGCAAACAAATGCTCTTCTTCGATGCTTACACCAACCCCAGGACCCACAGAAGGCATTCTGTCTCCATCAATCCAGGGCTGGCATAGGATTTTAAGAGACAGGGCATTTTCAAGGTAAAAGAGCATTTCTGAATCACATTCATCTAATAAATAGCTACCCAATGTCGACTATGGGCTCTCCACTGTTCCAGGCCTGGAAATGTAGCAGTGTGCCTCATGGAAATGTAGCAGTGTGCCTCATGGAAATGTAGCAGTGTGCCTCATGGAAATGTAGCAGTGTGCCTCATGGAGCTGACCTTCCCATGTAACCTAGCAAGCCCTTGAAAAGGAGAGAAAAAAGTAATGGGGAAAGGTAGCCTCCCTGTGGTAGTTTTAAAATGTCTGCAAATTCTTCTCTCCAAGAGGTGGAACTGAATTTACCTCCCCTTGAGTACGGGCTGTACTTAGTGACTCACTTCTAACAAAGTCGGAAGTGATGGCGTGTGGCTTCCAAGGGTAGGTCTTAAAAGACACTGCAAGCTCTGACCTGGGCTCCCTCTTCGATCACTAGCTCTGGGGAAGCCAGCTGCCATGCTAAAAAAGACACTCAAGCAGCCCCACGGAGAGGTCCACAACGCAAGGAGCTGAGTCCTCCCACCAACAGCCAGTGAGGAGCCGAGGCCTCCCACCTACAACCAGTGAGGAGCTGAGGCCTCCTGCCACAGTCACGGGAGTGAGCCTTGGAAGCAGATCCTCCAGTGTCCGTCAGGCCTTCAGAAACTGCAGCCCCTGCTGACATCTTGACTGAAACTTCAAAATCATCCAGCTAAGCTGCTTCCAAATTCCCAGCTGGGAGATGATAAATGTTTCAAGCTGCTAAGTTTCAGGGTAATTTGTTACACAGCAACAGATAACAAATGCATTCCCCCTATCCCCCTGCTTTTCCAACTTTGATCCATTCCTCCTTCCTTCATACTCACCATACACCACATAATGGGGGAACAAGGATGTAACAAGACAGGATTCTGGGGAACTGAGCTCAAAAGGGAAAGTTCTAATGAACATTTGCTATACTGAAGTGGAAGAAGCAAAAGCTTGTGAGCAGCACTGAGCCCGCACTTGCTTTACCTGGAAGTCCAAGCCCCACATCAGTTTGTGCTTCTTCTGGCTGCCCAGACCCAGGTTAGGGGAGCTAGGAATTTGGAGGGAAGGGTTAAGGGAGGCTGGCTGGACATGCAGACTCACTTGAGCAGGATCTCATACTGGCCGGCATGCCAGGGCTGCACCTTCTTTAGAACCAGGGTGAACACGTCCTCATTCTGAAGCACCTCGAAGTGGCCAGTGTCTTTGCAGAGGGCTTTGCCATCTCTGAGCCAGTGCACGGTAGGAAAGGGGTCACCAGCTATGGCGCAGGAGATGAGGACACTCTGGCCCAGGGAGGCTGTCACTGAGCGAGGCTTACTGATGAACCAGGGCTGGGTGCCATCGTGAGGCTCTGGAAATTGGCAAAGGGCAGAGCTAAACAGGGATGTCCCTCAGCAGGCAGTGTCCACTCAATTCTCCATGGAGGTGAAGGATGGGAAGATAGCATGTCACCCAAGTAACAGATTGTCCAGAAATCACTGTGATTGGATACACAAATGCAGCACACCCTTCTCATTGCACATCCATCTCGGATACATTCTCAGAGGATAATATTAACATGACTGTATATCCAATGTAAGGGGAGGTAGCCCAGAAGGCACGGGGCACCGAGCCAGGTGCTAATGATCTGTATCCAATGCGTGTGATTAAGAGTTGTCACTCACTTTATGTGTGCTTAACTTGCCTCTCCTCTTAAATATGTTATCTAATGGCAAGGACCCTGTTAAGCCTATAACTCACCTCAAAATCTATCGCTGCCAAATTGTTAAGTGTATTACAGATTTCCCTCTTAGTACTCTATGCACCTTGGCACCAGTAACCCAGAGAGGGCAGGGACTTCAGAAAGCTGGGAAAGGCAGCCCCACTCAGTCAGAGCTTGTGATGTTGGACAGGGAGCTGGCCTCTGGGGCTGGGGTGGGACTGAGGGACGAGAGGGCCCTCAGTGGGAACAAAGTAGCCTCATGTGGTTTCCTTGCCTCCAAATCACTTTTGGAGGGGCTGCAGCAGCATCTCCTTCCCACTCGCTCTGAGTGGGTCAGCCTCACCTTGTACCGTGAGCACGGCCTGGGTGCGGACCTCTCCAGCGCTGTTCCAGGCCTCGCAGGTGTACGTGCCCGTGTCCTCCGGGAACACTTCCTGGATACAAAGGCTGTGCTGAGTTCCTCTCTGTTCAAAGTGGAAGTCCTCTGACTCTTGGATCTCATTCCCATTGTGCAGCCAGATGACTTCAGGGGGTGGATTCCCTGAACCAGGAGGAGGGGAAGGGGGATTGGTTAGGGAGGTCCTCCCCGGCCATGCAGCAACTCTGCGCTGAATGCAGTGATATTGGATGAAACACTCCAACAACTCTCTATGCTTTCACTTCCCCATCAGTAAAATAGGAATTCAAACAGGATCTACCTCATGGGTTTGTTGGGAGGACCTTAAAATTTGAATAGTGCAACTGAGAACATCTTCTGAGATTTGGGAAGTTCTCACATAATTTTTTTTTTTTTTTTTTTTTTTGAGACAGAGTCTTTGCTCTGTCGCCCAGGCTGCAGTGCAGTGGTGCGATCTCGGCTCACTGCAAGCTCCACCTCCCAGGTTCACGCCATTCTCCTGCCTCAGCCTCCCGAGTAGCTGGGACTACAGGCACCGGCCACCACACCCAGCTAATTTTTTGTATTTTTTAGTAGAGACAGGGTTTCACCGTGTTAGCCAGGATGGTCTCGATCTCCTGACCTTGTGATCTGCTGCCTCGGCCTCACAAAGTGCTGGGATTACAGGCGTGAGCCACCGTGCCCGGCCCATAATCTGGTTTTGTACCAGTCTTCAAAACCTTCCAGCTACACTGGCCACACTATATTTTCAAATTAATCTTTCACTGCTCTAGCTCTATGGCCATCTTCTTCCTCTGGACCATTTAATCATGAATCCAGAAAATCCTACCCAGAGAAGGCAGAAAAGAGAGGACAAGAGTCTCCATTTCTTTGGGTCCATCACCTGATGGTCCCATCTGATTTTCTGGTGGATCAAGGATCTGAGCGGGTCCTCGGAGAGCAATACCCATTGCAACCAAGACCATTTTCATGTTAATCCCCAAGAGAGAGCTGCAGAGACAGACCTGACACTTGGACAGTCATAGTGACCTGGCTTCCATCCATGACTTTGAGATCAGAGAGGCCCTGCAGGAAGATGGGTGCAGTGGGCTTGCTGGGAGCCACAGGCAGAAGGTACTCACTCTTCCTGCTACTCTTCTTTTCTGTGTGGTAGAAAACAGAACGTGGGGTGAACATTCATGCATTCATTCAACAAACACAGACTAAATGACCACTTGGTACATGACTGTGTTGATGCTCAGTTCCCACCAGAAACTGGCAGCTAACAGATAAAGAGTGTTTGGAGTTTCTAGAGATCATTAGGAACAAGATGCCTCCCATTTCTCTGCTTGGCAATGACGATGTTCTTGCCTGATAGCCAGGAATGAACAATGAGTTCTTATAAGTTTGTGAGTTTTAAAAAATATTTTATTTATTTTTCAGATAAATGATACACTCACATGGCACAAAATTCAAAAGGTACCAAAGAGTATGGCAAGTCTCCCTCCCACCCCATCCCCCAGCCACCAGTGATCTCTCCTCAGAGGCAACGAGTTTTCAGTTTCTTGTTCATCTTGCCAGAAATGATCTACGTGTGTAACATATAGAAGCAAACAGGCATTTATTTTCTTCTTAAAAAAGTAAATGAAAGCACGTTACACAAAATGCTTGGCATCCCTTTAACAATACATCTTGGTGTCTCTCATAAGACAGAACTGAAGAGCTTCTTTGTCATTTTCGATAATTATATGGTGCTCCATTCCCATCCTAGGAGGTTTTAAGCACCTCACAAAAGCCAAAGACACTACACTCATTAGAATGGCTAAAAATAAAAAGACATCACATCCCAGGAATTGGTCTTGACAAGGATGTGGAAAAACTTGCATCTCTCATACATGGCAGGTGGTACAGAACCTTCTGAAAACATTTTGGCAGTTTCTTAAAAAGTTAAACATATACTTCCCTTAGGATCTAGTCATGCTACTCCTGGGTATGTCCCTGAGAGAAACGCAAGCACATATCCATACAAAGTCTTGTACACAAACATTCAGAGCAGCTTCATTCACAATAGCTGCAAACTAGAAATGACCCAAATGTCCATTAACAGGTGAGTAAAACAAATTGTGATATATCCACACAATGGAATATTACTCAGCAACACAAAAGAATGAACTACTGAGGGTACCGCAACAGGGATGAATCTCACAATAATTATGTTGAATGAAAGACACCAAGCTGTAGTCCCAGCTACTTGGGAGGCTGAGGTGGGAGGATCACTTGAGCCTGGGAGGTTGAGGCTGCAGTAAGCCATGATCACACCACTGCACTCCAGCCTGGGAGACAGAGCAAGATTCTGTCTCAAAAAAAAAAAGGAAGATGCCAAAGAGAGAGTGCATGTTGGATGACTCCATTTATATAAAATTCTAGAAAATGCAAAGTCCAGTGACAGAAAGCAGGTCAGTAGTGGTGTGGGGCAGGGGACGGGGGGTTGGATTATAAAGGGGCATGAGGAAACATTTGGGGACAATGAGAATTTCACTTTTAAAAATCATGGCAAAGGTTTCATGTGTGTGCATATGTCAAAACTTATCAAACTGAACACCTTAAGTCTCCATAGTTTATTGTACATCAATAATACCTCAATAAAAACTGGGAGAAAAAATCAATTTCTCTGAGACAGGGAGTGTGTCGGCAAGTCAAGGAGGAGGGTGAGAGGCCTGGCGCCTCACTCACATTCAGTTTCTTGTGGAGGTGGGTGAACAGCCTTTCCTCATGCTTAGAATCCCTGCCTCACAGGAGCTGAAGGGGAGGGGACTGCAGAGTGGCTGGCCCTGCCATCCACGTCTCACAGGGAACAATCCTGGTGCAGGACAAGCCATGGCTGCCCAGCCTCTGGTCTCTCCCTTGGTTCTGTGAGCCAGGCAGCTTGACTTTCAGTAATGCCATTTTAGCAATTTTTGTTTTTGTTTTTGGCAGGTTCAACTGTTGAGAAAGGGAGGGTTAGGATATCTCTAACTTAAACCCTAAGTTTCTGGGGAAAGGGCCACAGGCATTTTGGGTTCTTCTCAACACAGGACCACAAATACTAGACCTTCTTCAGGAAGTGGAGCCATGGGGAGGTTTCCAGGGTATGTAATGTATCTGGGCAGGTGTCACCTCCAAAGTTGCCACCGAATTTTTATCCACTGCCACTGAAAATGAAAGCAGGCCTACTGTAGAACTCTCCTAGCCCAGCCTCTGGGAACCTGGATGGGGAGAGGCTGGGAAGGTCCAGGAGGCTGGAGGAAAACTTCCCCCAAAGCAGGTGCAGTTGAAGGGCATGGAGCCTGAGTGTGAGAGCAGGTAACCCCCCACGGTCCCCTTGGAAGATGGGGCTCTCAGGCCCCTGCTGCTCTCTGGTGCTGCTGACTCAGCACCGCAGCCTTCGATGGAGGGCCGCCAGGGGCCTTGGCAGAAGCTCTGGGAGTGGGCTTGGGGGCACAGGATTGGAAATGCATTGATCTATCTCGTTTCTCTCACTAGGCTGCAGCAGTCAGGAGAGCTGGCTGCCTCGGGAGAGTTGAGGAATTTCCTGTCTTGCACAGACTGAGAAGGCTCAAGGACAAAATGTTTTTGTCTTTCTATAGCATTCCCTGTTCCTGCCTCTCTGCAATCTCAGCGAGTCCCCAGCCTTACAGAGCTTCATGCAGATGGGCTCAAATTCCTAGATGCTACGGGAACGTCACCAACTCCAGCGCACTCCCCTTTAAGCCTGTGGCAGTCTCCTCTTCAACCCCACCTTCTCTGGGTTCTTCCCACAGCCCCTGTTTCCTGGGGGTTTGGCAAAGCCAAGTCACCCTGTGGGTCTCAGCCATTGGGGACTAAAAGCCTATCTGCCTCTCCCTCCCCTGGGAGCTCAGAAGTATGCATGAAAGGGTGGCCTGGGAGCTGCCTCCCACCTGGCAGCTCACTGGTTCCACCTGCAGCTGTGGAGGGGATCCTGGCCTCAGGCAAGTCTGCCTCCGTCTGAAGCCCCACTTCCTCATCGGTCTCTACGGGGAGTCGTGGTATCATCACAGGACTTTGGGTAGTTTTAAAGAGATAATAGGTAAAAATACTTTGTACAACCATTCATTATCAATGAGAACATTTGTACGAGCCTAGCATGAGAACTGACTCACATCTATCCACTTGGGCTCAATTACTCAATGGGTTTATCAGCAGTCAAAGAACCAATGGAGTCTGGGCTTCACCCAAGGATTATGGACTCATTTTTATAGGACCTGAGGCAAATACTATTAGGAATACAAATGCGTTGCTTAAAAATATCATGGGATATATCTCAAAGTAAATTGAGGACAAGCTTTCATTGCACCCCCTCCAGGAGATGAGTGAGTGAACTTGGGGGAAACCGGCCGATCGGCAGACATTTAGTTCGGTGTCACTCATTGCCCCCGGTCCTGTGTTTTGTTCCCCAAAGCCCTACAGCAAGAAAGAAGGGAAGATGGAAATGATTGGGAGTGAATGTTCAGAACGAGCCTGTTCTCAGACCGGCAAGGTGGGACCCAGTCCCAACTCACCATTCCACTGTACTGGTGTAGAGACCAGGAGAGACTTAACTAACGGGAAGTGACTTGGCTAACATCATGGGGCCAGTGTGGGCAGACCCAGAGCTCATGCCCAGGCCTTCTGATGACAAGGCCGGGATGTTACGTAGGCGTCCCTTCAAAGGGAACCAGTCTCCTCCAACGGTGCCCATGGTGACCGCTCCAGGACAAACACACTGTCAGCTGACCCACATCCTAGATCCTTGACAACTGAGAAAAACTAAAGCAGAACAGAGACAAGCCAGGTGAAAAGAGCAACACAATGTGTGTGTGTGTGTGTGTGTGTGTGTGTGTGTGTGTGTGTGTGTGTGTGTATTGCAATTCATTCCAAAGCCAAACAAATTATTCTGGCTCATCTCTGGCCTCTAGCCTCTATCAGTTTCTGCTCACTCTTCTGTGGACTTAAGTAAAATACGAAAGGACAGATGGAAACTGGCATTCTTAACTCGTGGCCCTGGCTGTGTGATCTGAAGCAACCTTCCCAAAGCAAGCCTCGGTGTTCTCTCCTCCAAACTTATGGCAACATAATACTGAGAAGTATGATGTCTGCATCATCAGTCTAATGCATGGTAATATTGCAGGGTTTTAGATGATTAGAAAGTAACATATAAAACAGCTAGAACAATACATGGCACACAAGCAGTATAAAAATCAATGTTTTCTGACTTTCCCAACCCAACTAACTCCTTTGGTTGTGGAAATTCAACCTGATAATAACTCCAATGAGAAAAACCCCCCAAACCAGAACTTTCATGTAACGATGATTCCTTATAAAGCCCAGCGCTCCAGGATTCCAAAAGATGTTCATAGCTAATTCAGTGTTACCCTCAACATCTCGGAAGTATTGGGCAGATTGTGTCTGTTTTACAGTGGAGGGAGCTGAGACTCAGAGAAAGAAGCTCGCCTGTCCTAAGGTCCTGGGGCTGCGATGCCCCATGAGGAGGGAGATGCTGCTGGTGGGGTCCTGGTCTGGGTGCTTTCCCTTGACTGTCCTGGGAGCAGAGGCAGGTCTCAATTCTGTGAGGAGCTTTCTGTCATCATCCATATTCATGTCCAGAGCTACCCATTACCCTGGGAGTCACTCCTCTCTGCTTGTCCTTGGCCTCCTTCTAGCATCATCCTGGTTTAAGGACCAGGGTCTGAGGCAAGAGGCCCCCAGTGACAAGGTTGTCTCAGAGAGCCCAAGACTTCTTCGTCTTGGGAGGACACCCACTGGCCATGGCACACAAATAGCAAGGGATGCTTTGCTGAGACCCAGTGACAGACTTGCCCAGCTCAAATGGGGCCAAACTAAATATACCCCGGGTTTCCCCACAGCTGTGCTTCCTGCTGCTCTGCTGAGACTGAGCCCAGAGAGGGCCTTCTTTCTGGAGTGCAGAAAGGGCTGAGTCTCCTTGCTTTCCTTGCCTAGGATTAAGGATCTAAAGTGCATTTATCTGTTGCTCTGTTACTTGGTATTAGCCAATTCACTCCTGGACTCAGTCATTAAACTGCCACTGTCCCATTTTGACAGAATGGAAAAGGATTGATCGGGCTGTCGTCCAATGGGAAAGACAAGCACAATGACTAAGAATAAGCCCAAGCAGATTGCTGACAAGTAAAAACGATGCCATGTAGACGAAGCTGTTAATAGGACTTAAGAAAGAGCAAGAATGGAGAAAGGGAAGAACAGAGAGAAGAGAAAGAAAAAGAGGCAATGTGAGGAAGAGAGAGGGGGAAAAGGGAAGCAAAGGAAGGGGGAGAGAATGAGAGACAGACAGATATACGCACTCTCCCCTTTATGATTCTACTGACCCATGGAGTTTTTCCGTCCTTGCCATTTTGGCTGTTTTTGACTCACTAGAAGTTGTTTTTGAAGCCAGTTCCTAGTCATGAAACTAAACATGAAATGATCGCTCTGGTGAAGCAAAAGCATCAAACAAATGACCTATCAGGATCCAAGAGCAGCCATGCAGAAAGCCCATGGGCTGAAGCAGGTGGTGGCCTGGTGCTGCTGCTGATCACCTGGACTACTGTGGGCAGCTGACATCACCTCCTGAGCATCACTTTCTTCATCTGTAAAGTGAATTCGGAAGTGTCAAGTGGAGTTGTTGTGAGAATTAAATAAAACAAGCCAGCTTTTCTAGCCAATTAGACTTTCCTATCAAACAATTCCTTCTTAAAAACAAATTGATAGTGGTTTTACTTTAAAAACCTAATATAAATTGATACCCAACATGGCGTTTTGGAAAGCTTTTATTTAGAGGAAGAGTTAGGAGCAGTTTGCTACCTCTTGCACTAATTCTTCTTATAAAATAACCAGTAAAGCCTCTTCTTCAAACCCAGCACCAGGAGTGAGGCCTTTACCTCCTCTAGGACCTGACACTAGGAACCCACTGTTGCCTTTGTCCTGGTGGCTGACCAGGATCTGCCATCTCCTTCTGCACTACAATAATTCTCCTGTCTTCCCTTCACAGCCCTTCCTTTTCTTTCCGTTGTTTTAGTAGGAAAAACAACTAAATTCTGAATTTCTCCTTATAAGTGTGTTTTTCTACCTGCCAACATTTGCTGGTCAACTTGCTACTTTCTGAAGCCCCAAGGTCCTGGATCCAAATTTGCATTCAACACATGTTTGCCTTAATCTTGGATCTACCAAATATTTTCCTTAGGCTTTGAACATGAGCTGTATTCCTTAGTTATTACAATGCAAAATGCCATTCCAACAGCAATTCTGATTCACTCCAAACCCTGTTATACTATGGAAATTCAACAGATCACCAATTGAGGGGGCACCATGGAAGCACAGTGCCCCCATCTTTCTTTATTTGGAGTTCAAAATCCAGCATGGTCCAGGGATCACCACCAGCCTCCTCCTTTCCCTAAATTCCAGGATTGTTAACTCTGGAGGATTCATCAAAGAAGAGTTACATTCTCCCTGCTGACACGCCACACAGCCCCTTCCCATTTCCAGGGGGTTTGTGCAAGCTGTAAATCCCCGGGGCATCTGAATTCCCCTTAAACAAAAGTCTGTCTCCTAACCAAACAGAACCTTCTTGAAGTCAGCAAAATGGCTACTTTGTGGCATTAAAAGGATTTTTCCTCCCATAGCCTTGTTTTCTTTTGGCCTCCCTTCCTCCCAGAACTTAAGAAGCAAATGGGAAGAGAAGTGTGCGAGGAAAAGAATGAAAGGAACAATGACGTATAATATCCCAAAAAAGATCTCTGACCAGTAATGATAGGGTTGCTAGCTGGGAAGCAAGGATCACTGAAACCACAGCCTTTCCACTGTCTTAGAAGCTATAATCACACTCTAAACATAAAGGTATGGCATCCAAACCACCCACTGTTCCCTCCCAGTGCGGGCCTGGAAGCCACACTCTCAGTTACACTGTCATCACATGGGTCACATTTTGCCACTAGGAGCTCAATCCTGCGATTCTGGATAGCATTCTTGATCTGGGTCTCTATGTAATTATGACTGACTATGGGCTGTAGAGGTGGAGAGTTATAAAGCTCTATAATGGCCCTATTAGTAAAATGAGGCTCAAATTCTATGGCATGGGCACAAACGTACATGTATATGCTCAGAAGTCTTTCTGTAACACAAAGAACCCATGTGGTACACAAACCCAATTCTGTACTCAACCTACATAAAATGAAAATATTGGTTATAAATTTTAACATGTAATTAATTGCTTGCCTTCTTACAGTTTAAAGGCTTGTGGACAGATGTTTTGAATAAACTAAGCTTCTTAATATATATAAAAAAGGCAAGTTAAAACTGGTATTTATTCTTCTTCAATATATTTTTCTGTAGCCAATGTAAGTATTTAAGAAGTTGTCAGTGTTTTTAAGCTTGAGGAGGTCAGGATCCATACGTTATGTTAACTGGATAGATTGTATAGTGTCCAAAGTACCTGTGCATAACCAGGGAAGACAAAGGAGGTGGCTCCAGGCTGCCCCGCAGAGTGCCTGGTATTAATCTGAAAACAAACTGTGCCTCTACTCATTGCCAAGCAAACGCTGACTTCACTGATGCCTGTTGTCTTCATTAGAAGCTCTGCATCAAAACAAATACTCTAATAAATATGCTTGTTATATTTTATTATCTATTCTAGAGATGATCTTTTCATCTTTTTAACCTACCCACATTTTATGTCCTTAGATGCCTTAAACAGGCCCACTAGGCCTTCAGTTAAATAAACAAACCGTTAGGCTGAGAAACTATGTCAAATGGGCACAACTGGCAGGCTATTAATAAATCTAGACACTTAAGAATTTTAGCCTTGATGGAGATACTCCAGGGGGAAAAAATTTTAAATATTCTAGCCCAAGGAAGCCCCCAGCAATGACTCAGTCCAAACGCTGTGAAATATATACTGTATTTCAGATATTCCTGGGCTCTGCAGGAATTTGAATTAATCATCCTGGATCAGGACTCATCCTGGGTCAGGAGGAAAGACATTCATTGCTTGGTTAACTATTGGGGAATTTTTTTTCCCTAGCCTGTGTTGGGGAAAGAAGGAATATTTGTTGAGGGACTCTTTTTTTTTTTTTTTTTTTTTTTTTTTTTTTTTTGAGACAGGGTCTTGCTCTGTCATCCAGGCTGGAGTCCAGTGGTGTGATTACGGCTCACTGCAACTGCAGTCTCGACCTCGCAGGCTCAAGCAATCCTCCTGCCTCAGCCTCCTGAGTAGCTGGGACTAGAGGCATGGGCCACCACTCCCGGCTAATTTTTGTGTTTTTTGTGGAGACGGTGTGTTGCCGTGTTGCCCAAGGTGGTCTCGAACTCCTCGGCTCAAGAGATCCACCTGCCTTGGCCTCCCAAAGTGCTGGGATTACAGGCATGAGACACTGTGCCTAGCCCTGTTGAGGGACTCTTGAAGGTAATTTGCAGATTTCCTGCACACCCTAATGGGCACTGAGCCCCCAGAAAAGCGAGGAATTCTAGGGAATGCCTCCCTGCACTGCAGGGGAGGTTCGGCAACCTCTGTGCTCTCATCCATTCAGGGAATGCATGCTCCCATGGCAGGCCTGGCTCTACACACAGTATGACGTGATCCCTCCCTGCAGGGAGCTTACAGTGTGGAGAGGAAGATAATTAAGCAAGTAGAGTAAAATGAAAGTGAATTTTCACGGAGTAAATTGTTTTCTCCTCTCCTCCAGAGGCCTGGAATGGTGAGCCCCCGCATTCTGAACTCACTTTCTATCACACTGCCCCGTCTACTTTGCTGCAGCCACAGAGGCTGCTGTCTTGCTACTCCTCGAATGGGTCAACCTTGCTCCTGACTCAGGGCCTTGCACTTGCTGTGCTGCCCACCTAGAGCTCTCTTTCCCCAGGCCATGGACACCTCTGAGGCTTCCTCACAGCACTAAAGATACACCCTCTCACCCTCCTCGATTCACACACCCCACTCACTGGCTTTTTCTCTTTATAATTATTCCTTTGTGACCTGCTCATGTTCTTAACAGCACGTGCCAGCATTTGAAATGAGGCCAGGTGCTGACTGCTGCTGGCATCCTCATCAGAACGTAAGCACCCTGCAGGCAGGGCCCTCAGCTGTCCTGTCTACTGCAGTTTCCCCAGAACAATGCCTGGCACTGATCAATATAGGCGCGCAGTAAAGACTTGTTGATAAGTAAGTGTAATACTAGAAGCACACGGTGTTCAGGGAACGCATTCTGGGGTGATTAGGGTAGGCTTCCCAGAGAAAGTGACATTTGTGGGAGTTTCCAGGATTTGGAGAAGAAGAGAGTCACTGAGGAGGGAAGGCAGAGAAAGCATGAAGGGCTGGCTGCAGAAATCGCGTCTGAGGGCTGCACCAGCAATCTCGATGATTGCAAAATCTCGGCAAAAGGCGAGAGGTGAGAAAGAGCCCCTGCATCTGGCCTTTGGCACGGTATCTGCTGAGCTCTCAGAATAAGCTTGCTTGCAGCAGAGCTGCCCCTCAACCACCCCCGAGAGAAGACAACTGGAGGGACACGCGTTGCTGCATGGTGCCACCTTGTGGCCAGAGCCCTTGGAAGCAGGCACGAGTGTTCATGGCTTGTGTCTGGCTGGACACCTCCCTCCTCTGATTCTCTGATGGCCAAACAAACACACAATACTGTAGCAAAGTGGATCCTTTGGGAAAACCCCTCCTCAGTCTTGGCATTTGTAAGGATTGTATCTTGTTTAAAGGTGGGCTCTGCTGGACAATCATAATCACAGCACATACCTATGGAGGGTGTGTGCTATCCTATGCTCTGGGGATACTTTGCACATTCATTCACTTAATCCTCACAGTACCGCGACTGTCAGCATCTCCATTTCACACAAGAGGAAGCTGAGGTCTGGAATGCTAAAACGCCAGGGTGCAGGGCTAGTAAGTGGCAGAGCAGGACTCACACCCAGGCCGCTGGCTCCACATCCATGCTCCCCACCGTGGCCTGGTGCCACACTAAGGGCAAGAGAGGGCTGGACCTGGACAGCTAAGGGAGGGGTGAAGCAGCCATCAGTGCAGTAGGGAACAAACACCTCCACTGTGATCATCTCCCCCAGCCCAGGCTTGTCCCGAGGATCCAGAGCCAACGGGGCTGCCAATCAAGTCAGAAAAACTCCACAGCAGAGGACAGCGCAGGGAGCAGCCCCGAGCCTCCTGAGTGTCTCAGGGCACCGTGCCAGGGGGTGTCGCTGTGCCAGGCTCACCCTGCTCCAATCCTATGCCAAGAGCCCAAATGCTGCCGGGCCTGAGCGTGCGGCTGCGTCTTCAGCCTTGTTCACCATTTATGGTATCTGAGCCTGTCTGGTCTTTATAGCCCAGTACATCCCCCACACTGGGAGGGGGTTCTGTCATGCAGGCCTCTTCTCCGAGCAAATCCAAACTTCCTTGGCAGAGTTTTTGCCTGGGACCTCTCTGTGCTTTTTGTTTTCCTTTGGATGGGTGGTGATCCTTCAGGTCCCAGCCCCCACAGGCCCGGGAGTCAGGAGGATGGCCCTAAAGAATTCTTGATCCTTTGCCTGGGACTCCCACCTCCAGGGGACTCTTAGCTCAGCTGGGTCACTCTAATCCAATCTAAACACAGGCAAGCCAGGACAGACATTGGATTAGTCCTTGGCTGTGGCTGTGGAGGGAGTATCAGAAAACAGAGGGCTGAGCCACGGCGGCTCTACGTGTAGCATTCTGACTCTTGCTGCCCCTTACTTGACTCTGGGGTTGGCCACGCTGGCCTCCAAGAAGAGCCCCCAGGTGAGTCCTGCTTCCTGGACCTCAGAGACAAGGTTCTCAGCAGTTCAGGTTTCCTCTGAAATCTCATTATCACAATTTCCTGAGCTCCCCACCTGGCTCCCAGGGAGTCATGAAGTTAGAACTATGAGGATAAATGAGTAAGTTTGTAAACCAGAATCTGGCTGCAAATTCCCAGAGGCCAGAGCTGGGCTCTGAACCCAGTGTGGTGGGTTTCCTGGAAGGAAGGGGTGGACCAGTTTCTCGTGCTCACTCCCGGCAGAGAGCTTCACAGAGCCAGCGTCAGTCACATTCTCCATCAGTGCCAGTTCCTTCATCCCTAAGGGACTGACACTGCCCAGCCCACAGTGGCCAGTCTTCCCCTTTGAGCCAGGGGATGTGTCCTCTGAAAAAGGTCAGGGCATAGGAATGAGCACAGACTTGAAAGTCACAGGCTGTGGGCTCCAGGGTGCAGCTTTGCAGACTAACGTGATGCGCTTAGGCAAGTTACATTCAATTCCCGAGACTTCCAGAGCCTTCTGTCTGAAATCAGGACAGCATCCTTGTCCCCTAGGCTACTGAGGTCTCAGTGAGAGAATACGGGTGAGGTGAAAGTATTTAACACAGTAAGCCACAAATGTTTCTTCCCCTTTCCTTTTCTGCGAAACTTCCTCCTGCAGCCTCCCAGACAGTGGCTACTCATACAACACGGAGATGTTCCTGACAGGCCTGAGCCCCGGGGAATGGAGAGATGTATCCTCCTGCTTGTCTGATGGGAGACCAGTCACGCTGCACTCAGTGCTAGCACCAGAGGACCCAGTCATGCACAGGAGCCGGGGGCATAGGCTCAGGGTGATGGTGGGATCAGGCTTACCTGAAAGCCCTGGACCCAAGAAGCACTTCCACGGGAACTGTCACCAGGCCTGCTGATACCACAGCCCAGACAGATCTGTCTTGAGTCTGAGGCTCCCTGCAGTTCCCGGGGACTAAGTGCTTGGCTGATGAATGGATGACCATGATAATCAGATTACTGGAGACCAGGCTGCTGATGTGTAAAAACAAGCCTGGGCCCGTGAGTAGAAGGGGGGCAGAAAGGGGACAACCTGTGACCCTCTGGAAGCCTCAGTGTGCACGCTGTGACCCAGGGTCCCCCAGCATGTAAGGGGTCACTGGGAGGCCACTGACTGTTCAGGGAATACGTGAGTGCTCTCCCAAGTCCTTTTGTAGTGTGCGAGGTTTTCTTCTGACCAGACCTGGAGCTTCTGGAGCTAAGGGAGCCCTATCTCTTTCCCCCATACCTTTCCATGGCCCCAGTGGAGTGAGGGGGTGAGGAAAAGGCCACCTCTGATGACACCCTTGTCGCTGTGAACTCCTGGAGGTCATCTCCCTCACTTCCTACCTGCAGGTGCAGCACTTTTTAAGGACCCTCTCCTCTGTCCCTAAGAGGTTGCAGCAGCCACTCCTCTGTCACGGCACCTGCCGCTGCCAGTGGTGTGGAGTAGTGCCATGTGCACCTCTGCTCCCTGGATTTGAGCTCATGATACCATTTTCTACAAATGTGCCCTTCCTCCAAAGCAGAAGTGCCTGCAGGAAAGGTGCTTCTACCCAGGTGCCCAGAGGCTCCTACCATGGACGGTGACCCAGGCGCTGCAGGACACCTGCCCCAAGGCATTCTCAGCTAGGCAGGTGTAGGTGCCATGGTCCTCCGGCAGGGCATCCTGGATGTGGAGCTCAGCCACGCCGGCCTCGCAGGTGGAGCGAGCGTACTGGATGGGCTGCCCTGTGGAGGAAGCACAGGAAGGCTCAGGCCAGGCAGCACTGGCAGTAGGGACGGGAGCCCTGTCCTCAGCAGGGCTGCTGCTGTCATGACGCTGAGACTTGTCATGCTTGCTCAGATCCACTGAGGGCTAATGATGTACCATGCACATCTCCAGCCAGCTGGACAGAGGCTTATGGGCTGGAGAAAGAGCCAGGGGCTAAGGAGATGAAGGAAAGGGAGTAATTGTGTGGTGGAGGAGGAAGACGGGGCCTAGAGGGATGGGGGAGGGAGAATCTGGAGGAATTAAAAATGCAGGAGGGAAAGGGACAGAGTTTTGGGCATTCTGTGTTAAACAGTCTCCAAATCCACATCCTCAACTTCACAGAATTCTGAGCCTGGAGAGACTTTTACACGGTCATCTGGCCCATAGCCCAGCCTCAGGCAAAACGGAGCTTTCCCAGGCTGAACATGGGGTGCCCAGCTCCACTTAGATGTCTCCAGAAACAACGATTCAATTTTCCACTGTAGATATTTATCAAAAAGCAATTCTGCATCCCCCACCCACTGTTGCAGTTAGGTGCGTTTCTTCTATGCAATTAGGTGTATTTTAGGGTTCACAGAAAAGATAAATATAGGGAACTAAAAATGACTCGGCTCCTTTTTTCCAGAGTCCCTTACATGTGACATGTTCCAGGTAACATAAAGTCCTGCATGGAGACAGGAGTGCATGCAATGAGCTTCAGTGGTTTCCTTAATGCTCTATGTTCCTGGGAGTTTATCATTCTGGGATGTGACTTTTCATTTCCAGGAAAAAAAAAATCTCATTACTGAAGAGTCTGTCCTCGGAGCAGGAATGTGTCCAGCTGCCATATAGGAAGCAACTGTCAGTTTCTTCCCTTGCCAGGCCCCAGGGTCCTGGTTTGCACTTCATAAAATTGGGGTCGGCCAGTGGGGAAGGGAGACAGTACAGAAAGAAGTCGTCTCCCTGCAATGCAGTGTTTTCTTCTGCACATAGCAACACTTCATGTCTCCATGACAGTTTGGCAAAGAGACCAGCAAGCACATCATAGGACTAGAGGGGAAGATTCCTCTCAACCTATTGCATTTCATAAAAGTGGGGCCGAGGGCTGGGAAAGGCAGGGGCCTGGATCCTGCCACTGAGAGAAGTGAGCACTGCTCTTTGTTTTTACTTTTTGTCACAATGGTACCCTCCAAACCTCTCTTCCTTGACAATACCAGTGTATTCCCTGACTGCCGCCAATGTGTCTCTTCTGTCCAAACATGTGCTGACAAGCCTTTTGAGAGCTCTCCTTTAACTGGAACGTAACTCACTGTGGCCCCACAAACATGGGATGGGATGGAGGCCCCAGAAAGGAGCTGTTGGCTCAGGGCACATCAGAATTGGGAGACATTAGGCTCTCCCAGCTCGGAGGCTGGGTTAAACTAAAGTTAGCAGCCAAGGAAACCCAACTTGAGCATGATCGCCCTCTAGTGGAATGGGTGTGGAAACGCTAAGAGTCGCTGAGAAAACACCGTCTTGAGTGATGTATAAACTAGGAGACAGCAAGCTATGGCTCCTGGGCAGAATGCTAATTGCAGCTTGTTTTTGTAGCGCCTGCAAGCTAAGAATAGTTTTTACATATTTTAAATGGCCGAAAAATATAAAGGTAATTAATATATCTCATGATATGTAAAAATTATGTGAAACTCACATTTCAGTATTCATAAAGTTTTACTGCAACATAGCCACACTCGTTCTTTCACTTATTGTCTATGGCTTATGTATTGTCTATTCTTTTACTTTTTGAGACAGGGTCTCACTCTTATTACCCAGGTTGGAGTGCAGTGGCTAAGTTTTGCTAAGCCTGGCTAAGTTTTGCTTTTTTTTTTTTTTTTTTTTTTTTTGTAGAGACAGGTTCACTGTGTTGGCCAGGCTGGTCTTGAACTCCTGAGCTCAGGCAATCCACCTGCCTTGGCCTCCCAGAGTGCTGGGATTACAGGAGTGGGCCACTGCGCCCAGCCTCCTATGGCTGCTTTTATACCACAACAGCAGAGTTGAGAGTTGTTAAAGAGGCTGTATGGCCTGAAAAGCTGAAAATAGCTACTACCTGGCCCTTTATAGAAAATGTTTGTTGATACTTAGTCTAGACTCCGTTATTAGTCCTTAACGCCCATATTGCATTCCAGCCACAAGGAGGCTGCCTCCTTGAAGTCAATCACTGGATCCAATAGGACTTCTGTCCTTTGCTAAGGGCTGGGAGGGAAGGCAGACCTCAATTCTCACTTACCTACCCAAGAACACTACATGTAGGAAGACTAGATGGCACTTCCTCTTACTCACTAAAGACAGCTTCTAGCAAAGCCTGAGCAAACTACACCAACAAGGAAGGTTCACAGGCAATACATCAATGACGCAGACACAAATGGGGACTATTTGGTGCATAAGTGTTGGGGACCACTGCTCGCTCGCTTGCTCGCTCTTTCATTTATTTATTTATTTATTTATTGGAGTTTTGCTCTTGTCACCCAGGCTGGAGTGCAATGGCGCAATCTCGGCTCACTGCAACCTCTGGCTTCTGGGTTCAAGCGATTCTCCTGCCTAGCCTCCGGAGTAGCTGGGATTACAGGCACCTGGCACCATGTTCGGCTAAGTTTTGTATTTTTAGTAGAGATGGGGGTCTCATCATGTTGGCCAGGCTGGTCTCGAACTCCTGACCTCAGGTGATCCACCCACCTCAGCCTCCCAAAGTGCGGATTACAGGCATGAGCCACCACACCTGGCCCACTGCTGTCTTAAGGAGTGTATTCTATTAGGTATGAGAGTGAGCTGAGATCCCAAACCTTCTTTTCCACCCTATCTTCTCATAGATAAAGAAGCTGGTACCCCGAGGGGTGAAGTGTCCAAGGTCACCCGACCACTCAGTGGTGGAGAAGGACAAGTGCCTGTGTCTCCTGACTCTCAGCAGGGGCTCTTTCACCCTCCCTGGGGATCCCCACAGTAGTCCCTGCTCCATCTTATCAGTTTAATGGACAGTTCTCAGTCTTCTAAAGTCAGAGTTCTCCCACACTGTTGAAATTAAATGGTCCTTTAAAAAGAAAAGGGTGATAATATACGGCAAATAATTTTTTAAAGGACCTTACTTGACAAAAAAAAGAGTTGGCGAGTCTCTATAGGACTATCAGTTTAAAAAGAATAACTGGTCTGTGAGTCCCAGAACCACCTGCCACTAAATAAAAGGTAAGATCCCTCATGCGACTTTGAGAGTGGTTCATTAGTTTATTCATTTATTTGTTCATTTATTGACTCAATAAATATTAATTGAGGGCCTACTATGAGTTTGGCCATAAGAAAAGAAATCCAACTGCTCATGCCCCTATGTGTCAGGCATCTCATTAACCACTTTATAGAAATAATCTAATTTAATTTCACAACCACCACCCTGCACATAGGCAGCATGATTCCTGCCATGTAGATGGAGAACTCAAGGCTCAGACAGGAGTAGTAACTTGCTCAGCCAGTCGGGAGCAGGATCCCAGTGCCCGTGCTCTCTTTGTGCCCTGTGCTTCCTTCTCATACCACCAGGATGTCCAAGGCATAAATGGCTCAGAGGGATAAGTGAGAATTCAGGCAGCGCCAAAGGGCCCAGGGGATGGGAGCAGAGAGCTGGGGCAGGGGGAACTCACCATTCAGCAGCCAAGTGATCCGGGGCACTGGGGTCCCCCGTACGGAGCACTGCAGCACAAAATCCTGGCCCTCAATAACAGCGCAGTCCTTCAGGACACTGGAGAAGGAGGGGGCCACCTCCATCACGGCAAGCCCTGTGAGGGAAAAGGACAGGTCAGCTCAGATCACAGCTTGCCCACTCTGGTGATGCCTGCAGTCACCCCAGCCTCCCAGGCACGCCTCACTGTCCTGGACACCTGGGTACCCTCGGCAGCCTGCCTTTGGCTTCTCTCTCTTCATGCTTAAGAAACAGGCAGCACCAGTGATGTAGGGACATGGAGCCTGAAGCAGAGTCACCCGCAGGGGCTTTTTCACAGTCACAAAACACCCTAGCCCTGGGGTGCTTAGAACCTGGGCCTGCCTTCTCTCCTCTGTGACTCAGGTGCCTCCTGCTTTGCCTTGGCTTTTGCTGCCCTCGAGCCTCTGGAGAGCTCCTTCCTGCTTGTTGGTCCTACTCTATTTTCTAGTGTCTCTTATCTTCTTTAATATGTCCCATCAGTGATTACACAATCTTGTGAGTATCTCTTTACTTGTATAAGCCACAGGCTCACAGGTGAGGACATTTCAATTTTAAATTATTACAATGATTTTTTTCCAATTCCAGAACTGAATCATAGGACTCACATGTGCTCCAGTTTTCTAAGCACAGCTTGAACCCCATTCTAGGTCAAGGGCTCAGAGCTGCCGGGGACCTGGGAATATGCAGTAATGATGCCCTTGTGTGGTTTGAATGCACATTCTGGTTGAGAACTGCTGAGCTGAACTTTCCAAAAGCCTTCTACATCAGTGAATTAGGGGACATTTTCTAGTTTGGGGACCTTAATTAAGAGCAATAGGGATAATCTCTTCTATGACAACCAGAACATGCTGTACATGTGTCAAGGTGGCTGATAGCTGAGAAAAGGTGGAACTGGATTTGGTGCTTAGAAGATATATCACTGGTGCTTTTCAAGAGAGCCTATTCAATACAGAAATGAGAAGAAATGTCATATTATACTGCAGGGGTTTATGGGCAAGAAAGCTAATAAGATGTGAGGGCCTACTATGTGCCAGGTACTTTTCCAGATGTGATTACGACAATGTTATGAGGTTGTTCTCTTGAGTTCATTTTACAGACAAGGTTACTAATTTCCCATAGTTGAACTCGATGCTGAAGCCAAGTTTTACAGCCAGCTCTGACTGTACAGCTGCACTTTCTCCTCCAGATCCTAGGGGAGGATAGGCGATGGGAGGGCAGCGACAAGACAGAGTGATGGTGTACCTGGACAGGCCTGGCACTGAGGGAGGGTCAGACAGACCACCCAGAAGGTGTGGGGAGGCACCCTCTCCATCCCTCCCCTTGGCCAGTGTTGAACTCCCTCATTAGAGAAATGCCTTTGGGAGTTATCAAAAAAGGATATAGGCTTTCATGCCAGGTCAGTTTGGGTTAGAAATATGCTCTCTTTTACAAGGCATGTGAACTTGGACAAGTCATTTAACCTTACTAAAGATCAGTATTCTTATCTAGGAAATGGGTATGATTTTCTTGTAAGATTGTTGGGATAACTAAATGAAACAATTCAGGTAGAGCATTTAGCACAAAACCCAGCATAGCACATCCTCAGTGAGTGTTAGCTGTTATTATCAAGTAGAAGCTGTGCATAGAGACTCTACTTGAGGCAAATATAGTCTAGGGATGAAAGAGAGTGGAGGGATAGAGTAGGAGCTGCAGGGGCTCTCAAGTGGAAGGAAGATTTTCTTTCCTTTTTCAGCATAGGGACAACTACAGCATGCTTGTAGGGAGAAAAAAGAGGTCTCTCAATAAGGGAAGGGGAAAGATTGAAGAAGTGGTGAGAGAGTAAATCATTGTTAGATCAGATCCTTGTGAAGATGGGAAGGGACAGAAAGAGAAGTCTTGGGAAGGGAAACAGACAGGTATTCTGTAGTATAGGAAAACAGAAAGAGAGAAGTATGTAGGAGGAGCTAAAAGAACACCCATCAGATGACCTGCTTCATGGTAAACTCATCTGCCAAGAATTAGCTAGGATGTTTAGGAACTGGAGAAGTTTTAGAAAAGCGAGTGTCTTCATCAAGAAGATAGGATGTGGAATGGCAAAGTAAAGACCTCTGAAGATCTACTCCTCCATAAAAGCAACAACAATACTGGCAAAAAGAGTCAAAAGCAACGGTTTCAGAATGCCAGAAATTAACCACAGGCTTGCAACATTCTGAGGAGCATTCAATAAAAACAAACAAACATCCAGGAGTGGTGGCTCAAGTCTTTAATCTCAGCACTTTGGTAGGCCAAGGCAGAAGGACTGCTTGAGCCAGAAGTTTGAAACCAGCCTGGGAAACATAGCAAGACTCTTGTCTCTACCAAAAAAAATAAAATTAAAATATTAGCCAGGCATGATGGCATGTGCCTGTAGTCTCACTTAGTAGGCTGAGGCAGGAGGATTGCTTGAGCCCAAGAGTTTGAGGCTGTAGCAAGCTATGATCACGCCATTGCACTCCAGTCTGGGTGACAGAGCGAGACTCTGTCTCTAAAAAGTAAAAACAATAAACAACAACAAAAAACCCCAAACAACAATACCCTGCCCCTCCACCCTCCCAAACAACAAACAACAACAACAACAACAACAACAACAATAAAACATAGCTGAATCTTGGTAAGAACAGCAAGCTATGTGCTTTTTCACTCTTGTGCCCCTTGCCCCAGCTCTGGGGTAACTCTGAAAACCGACAGTACCTATGGTACTTGTGAAAATCAGCCACTTAGCAAGGGGCAGGATGGGTTCAGAGCTCCTGAAAAACCCCATGCGTAAGAGAATGGTCACTATTTGCCCTGTCTGGCAGCTCCTTCAACGACTCCATTTTCCGGGTTGTCTTTGTTTAATCCGACTCAAAGTTTACTCTGTGTGGATGGCCCTGTCTCCAGGATGTTTGTTAAAATCAATCAGTAGCAATTGTTTAACATTATAGCTACTTGAGACAGCAATATCATTCGGAGCTAACAAGAGCCTGACCAAAAAACTTCAAAGGAAAAACTGGGGAATGAGATGTCCAGGACTTTGAAAAGCTCTGACAGATTCCTGAGAACTGAGGAGCCCAAATGGTTGTGCAGGGCTGTGAGCCTGCCCAGGAAAGATGTAAGAAGGCCCTCCTGTCTCACCTCTGGCTGACTTGGAGCTTTGGTGCAAGCAGAAAGTAAAGGCTAAAGCAGAGCTGTAAACTGCTGGCCGGAGCACTGAAGATGGGCGTAACACACACACAGAGCCCCTTGGCAAAGGCTGGGAAAAGTATTAGTTCAAGGCATTTAAGGAACTCTCCATCCAATCAATTAGGTGATCACTAAACTAACTAAGCAGGGACTTCTGTGGCCGCACATGACAAATAATCCAGCCTTTACAGAATGGGAGAGGATTATTGTAAATCATGTCTGGTAAATGACTTGTATCCAGAATACATAAAGAACTCTTGCAACTCAACAATAAAAAAGTAAATGATGCAATTAAAACATGGGTAAAGTATTTGAATAGGCATTTCTCTGAAGGAGATATACAAATGTCCAATAAGTATATGAAATGATGCTCAAAATCACTAGTCATCAGAGAAATGCAAATCAAAATTGCAGTCAGGCTGGGTGTGGCAGCTCATGCCTGTAAACCCAGCACTTTAGGAGGCTAAAGTGGGAGGACTGTTTGAGCAAGGAGTTCAAGTCCAGCCTGGGCAACATAGTAAGACCTTTTATCTACAAAAATAAACAAAATTAGCTGGGTATAGTGGCATATGCCTGTGGTCCCAGCTACCCAGGAGGCTGAGGTGGGAAGGATCACTTGAGGCTGGGATGTTGAGGCAGCAATGAGCTATTATCACGCCACTGCACTCCAGCCTGGGCAACAGAGTGAGACCCTGTTTCAAAAAAAAAAAAAAAATCATAGTCAGATGATTGTGAATGGCTATAATGAAAAAATAGAAAACAGGCTGAGTGCAGTGGCTCATGCTTATAATCCCAGTGCTTTGGGAGGTTGAAGTGGGAGGATCACTCAAGTCTAGGGGTTTGAGACCAGCCTGGGCAACATAGTGAGACCTCCATCTCTACAAATAATAAAAAAAATTAGCCGAGTGTGGTGGCAAGCACCTTTAGTCCCACCTACTCAGGAGGCGAGGCAGGAGGATTGCTTGAGCCCAGGAGTTCAAGGTTACAGTGAGCTATTATCATGCCACTGCACTCTAGCCCCATTGGCAAAGCAAGACCTCATTTTTTAAAAAAAGCAAGAAACCAAGCAAGCAAGCAAGAAAATAACAAGTATTGGTGAGAATGTGGAAAAACTGCAACACTTGTACATTGCTAGAAGAATGTAAAATGGTGAAAAACAGTTTGTTAGTTCCTCAGAGGGTTAAATCCAGAATTACCTTATGACCCAACAATATATGTGGTCTAAACATCAAAATTGAAAACAGGTATTGAAAACAACTCATACATAAATGTGCATAGCAACACTTTTCACCATAGCTAAAAAGTAGAAACAACCACATGGACCTTAAGTGATGCGTGGATAAACAAAACACTGTATGCTATACCCATACAATGCAATATGATTCAGCCACATGGATGAATGAAGTACTAACACCTGCTACAACACAGATGAACCCTGAAAACATTAAGCTAAGAGAAAGAAGCCAGACACAAAAGGCCACATATTGAATGATTCCATTTAACATCAAATGTTCAGAAGAGGAAAACCCATAGAGACAAAAAGTATATTAGTGGCTATCAGGGGTTGTGGGGATGGGAGAACAGGGAGTGACAGCTAATGGGTAGGATTTTTTTGGGAGGGGTAGTGAAAATGTTCTGAAATCAGATGATGGTGATGGCCACACAACTCTGTGAATATATTAAAAACCACTGAATTGTGTACTTTAAAAGGGTGCTTTTTATGTTATGTGAATTATATCTCAATAAAGCTGTCACACAAAACACAACAAGATAGGGAATCAACCTGAGATGTATTACCCCATGACGCGAACAGGCTAAAAATAGTCTTCTGTGAGACTTAGATGAATTCACAGCAGAAGAAGCCACAGGAGAATCTAGGCCCTCTGGATACGCCATTAATCTGTGGTGGACCTGACACCATATTTCTGTCCCCTGCGCAGGGATAGAGACCTGGCCTGGATGATGAGGCTTGATCTCCTAGACCTGTGAACTCTGCCTACCAGCACTCCCACCTGCAAATGGCATGGATAATATTTCTTGTAAAGGAATTCACGAGGATAGTAAAAATCCCAGTTAAACAACAGTTAAAATCCCAGTGAATCAACAGTATACAGTGAAAAGTAAGATGCCCCATTCCTTCCTGTGAACCCCTAGTTTCCCCTTCCTAGAGGGACTTTTGTGCTCTTCCAGAAATGATTTGTGCACACACAGGCATCTTTTGCATGTGTGTACACAGATCTTTTCTTCCATTTACACATGAGCCTGTACTTTGCTCCTCTCCCTTCCTAGTGCATCTTGAACATGTTTTAGCATCAGTCTACAGGATGTTGTCTGGCATTCTACTATATGGATACATCACTAACTCTTTTTTTCTTTTGGAAATGTGCATTTTGAAAATTTTCAAACACACACAAAAGTAGACAAAGCAGTGTAGTGAATTCCTATGTACCCATCTCTCAACTTTCATTTATATCAATATTATTTCATTGATATCCCTGCCAGTGCTCCCCAAACATGAATTATTTCTAAGTCAAATATAAAAAGCCATATCATTTCACCAGTAAATAACTCAGGATATATCTCTCAAACAGATGAACTTATAAAAAAAAAAGTAACAAGACCACCATCACATCTTAAAACACCACGAATTCCTTTATATTAAATCTTATCAGTGTCCAAATTCTCTTGATGTTCCCATAAAAACTTTTTAAAGATTATCTCAGTCAGGATTGGCAGAAGATTATCAAAAATTATTGTAATTGTTGATGTTACTATATACCTTCTAATATAAGTTTTCTATAGGTTGTCTTTTTTTTTTTTTTTTTGCTTGCAATTTGTATGTGGAAAAAAAATGGGTGAAAGTTATTTGTTCCACAGTTTCCAGCAGCCTGCAATTTGCAGATTCTACTCTTGTGGTATTTGTTAATGCATTTCTCAAGGGTATGGCATGGGCCTGGGGCTTACATATGCATTTAGAGTAAGGGGGAAATTTTATAGAGATAGACAGGTACAAGAATATTTATCATAGGTATGTTATAATAGTGAAAAATGGAAACAATTTAATTATTCAACAAATAACAGCATACCTAAATTAGATACAGCCATTTCATGCAATATTATATGGCTACTAAAAGTCATGCTTTCCAAGAATTGTATAAAAAGATGTTAATATCACATGAGCAAATTAGGATAGAAAGCAGTATACAAATACCACAATGGTAAGTTTGTATAAAAAACATTAAAATATAATTTATTTCTGAGTCATAAGGTTATATATTGTTTAAATTCCCCACAATGAACATGCATTACTTTTATAAACAGACAGTACAATAAACATAAAAGATGTGGGATCCCACATCATCTCACATTACTCTAAACCTGTATATTTAATGAACACTCAGTTCTCTGTGGTTACAAACGTGAGTCACGGCACTATTCAAACAGCTGAGGGACCTAGGAAAGGTAGCTGTCAGTTGGGCTGGGTGTGGGGCCATGCATGTTTATTTTGAGGTGATTCTGATGTGAACTCCTGATTATGAATCACTGGCCTAGAGCAACACACTTGGCCTTGGCATGTGATTGGGGGTGACATTTCTGTCGGGCTGTGCACCAAGGCAGGGGGCTATAGGAGATGAACCATCTGCAGAAGGTGAAGCACCCCATGAATGGTTGTCCCACAGAGAATGCGGGGTGACCTGGAGAAGTGTACTCACTTTCCACTTGGAGGGTCCAGCTACAGGACAGCTGGCCTTGGGCGTTGGAAGCAGTGCAGCTGTATGTCCCACTGTCCCTGGTCCGGGCTTTCAGCAGGCAGAGGTAATGGGAGCCAGCATCTTCATAAACCTCAATGCTGCCTTCCTGTCTCCTCACGGGGGTGCCTTCCAGGAACCAGGCCACTTCAGGCTTTGGAATCCCGGAAACTACAGGGCCAGGTAAAGAACGTGAGCTCCCTATGCCCTGGAGAGCACCCTGTGATTGTGAGGTAGGTGGGGAAGGTGTGAGCTGGAGGAAAGGGCTCAGTTTGGTGTGGAGCTGCCCTCCCACCTCTGAGTCTGCTTCCTCACCCTCAACCACACTCCACAAGACGAAACCTCTTGAGAGAGTCAGGGGCCTTGAGGAGGATGAATACAGCGTGATGGGCAAGGTCTCCAGGTTGGCCAAAGCCAGGCAAGGGGAAGAAAGGGCGGAGGAGACCATGAGGTTTGCTTTTCGATGTTGGCGATAATGAGGGTGTTTCTTCTAGGGTGGTAAGAACTAGGGCCAGGGCCAGTACTCTATCCAAGAGCAAACAACAGGCTACTGTTAGGGGTCTCTCCAGAATAAAGGGCATTTCTACAATGAGTCACTCCTAAGGGGAAGGCCCTTGTAAGGTGGTTTTCTAGGGGAGCTAGTCCAAGAAGATGAGTGGATATAGGTGATGCAGACTAGCTGGGTGCTGAAGGAAGGGAGTGGCCACCAAGGGGCTACATTTTGGCAATCGGTGACCCTAATTACCTCTACTCACCTTCACATCTGAACTTGACAGTTTGATTTTCCTTGACCTCCTGGCTTTGGGGCTTGCTCTCAAATTTGGGGAATGCTGAATCCCTCTGGCCCTCCATGGGGATTCTCCTGTTAGCAGCCTTGCTCACAACATCTTGGCTCCCCAGGCCAGGCTGCCTGGTGGGGAAGGTGGCTGGACGGGGAGGAGCTGGCCTCTTCCTCTCTTCTCCAGAAGGTGATAGGACCCCCAGGCCTGGTGCTCTTGGTTCCGGCTGAACTCTTGCGGCCTGCAGGGTGATGGAGCTGGAAGTCTTCTGAAGGACCGGGGTCTGCGGGGCCGTTCTGGGCGAGTCCTTGCATGACTCCAGCTTGGACTCCCTTGGGGGCTGAGGCTGGCTGTTTGCAGCCCAGGGTGGGGAGCCACCTCTCTGGGGGCTGGAGCAGTTCTTGCTTTTGGCTGCAGCCTCCAGACTGTCCAGCTTCGACTCCTTTGAGATTACATTGGTCACCTCTTTCCTGACATCTGAATTGGTGGCTTTTGTTTCTCTCACAAATGACCTGTGTGGTGGTGAGGGTGGGGGTAGGGTGGGTGAGGAGAGGGGAGAATAGAATGATCATCTGGTTACTCACAAATATTACTCATCACAAGCACGGATTCCAGGGATCACAAAAGCCCACAAGTTAAGGGCAAGTAAGAGCATCTTTCTCTGCAGTTTGCCCAGTTTCCCAAGCCACAGCACAAGCAGCCATTCCCGACACTTGCCTGTCCCACAACCCTGCCCAGAGCCCTGCTTTCCCTACAGTTCCCTTCTCTACTAGTGCCTCCGTAGTTCAACCTCTGCCACCGGTGTCCCGTGTCCACTCTGCCCTCTCTAATCTATTTTCTATACAGCGACCATAGTCGATCTTTTAAAAACATTAATCAAATTATGTCATTTCAAGCCCAAGGATTTTCCAACAGCTTTTCCACTACTTTAAGAATGAAACTGAGCCCCACAAGAGGGCCCACAGGAATGCCAGCTCCTGATCGTACAGACATTGGCCTGCCATTCACCAGGCTGCGGCCACACTGGCGTCCTTCTGGGTCCCCATGGGCCCATCTCTTGGTTCACAGCTTGTACATGCTATCCCTGCTGTTTGGAGCACACTCCCTGAGCTTTTCTTCACCAGCTAACATTCCTTTGCACAGGTCTGAGCTCAAATACCAAGTTCCCGAAATGGCTTCCCTGCCCCTCTATTCTAATCAGTGCCTTCCTGTTGTCCTTCCTCACAGACGCATCCCAGTTGGTAATGTGCGTTCGTGTGGTTTAAGCCCTCCTCTACGCCCACCCCTGCACATCCAGCATCTAGCGCCGAGCCTCACACACAGGAAAGAGGCTCCTGCTGGGTCTGGGCTGGATGAGTGAACAGATTCCGCCCTGGAATGAGGAAGGCGGCCTTCTCAGAGCAGTGTTCTTCCTCAGGATGCTAACCAGAGAAGAGACTGTGTAGATACTGTGAAAGGTGGCAACACTGAGTTTTCCAGTCTCAATACTGACAGCAACCTGAGATAGAACCCGTGTGTCATATTACAATAGGAGAACAAGACAAAACACCCAAAATAAAACAACATCCTCCAAATGGCCAATTCTTCTGCCCCATAAGATGATTCAGAAATTCAGGGCATTTCTCGGTAACATCCTTGCAGGGCATTTCAAGAGGGAAAACGTAAAAGTCACAAAGCCTAGACATACCTATTGGCACTGTCCAAACCTGGAAAAAGGGGGAAGGGTGGAAAGACTGTTAGTAGAATGCTGTATACACCAAAATTTCCCTCCCCAGGCACTTCCTCATCACCGTGGTCCCACCCTGCTGGCTCCTTCCAGCTTCCCTGGTGCTGAACGTCTTTGGCCTTTGAACTCCCCCCAGCCCTAGAGTACATTGTCAAAGCTTCAGGTTCTGTCCTTTGGGCTTCTTAATAGTGGCTGGTGCTACCATACCCTGAGGGCATGGAATCTGTTTCTGTTCACTAAACAGAAGGAAAAAAAACCAATCCAGGGACAAACAAACATCTACTGAAAATTCCAAACCCAAATGCTGTAACTTACCAGTGTACAGAAAAGCATACTTTTAATGTTATCCAGTTCTTCAAAGAAAAAACATAAAATACATATTTTTCCTGCTATATTCTTTCTCAAATTTTATCATGGTAAACTTAAAAATATACAATAGTAGAAAGAGATAACAAACCCTGAAAGCCATCACCACGATTAAGGAGATACCACATTTTGCCAGTCTTATATATCCATTTTTGTTTTCTTTCGTTTATTTGTTTTTGAGTATTTTAAAACAAATATCAGGCAACATATTTTGTCATGAAGTCCATCAGGAGGGAATAGTATTTAACTGAATGTCAGGGCAGGCACACATTGCTCTGGGTGTCTGGTGGCATCTCCTTATTCAGCAGTGAGCCACCAAGTCAGGTCCTCCGGTCAGGACCAGGATTTCTTGTTTTAGTGATGTCAAGTGAAATAGAGAATACCAGCATGCACTGTACACAGTACGGTCAGGATGGTTTCCTGAAACTTGTTTACCTATGTATACATGTTCTGGGTTGCAATGTACTGTGAAATATATTTCTTTCTGTAGATTGTGAAAAATACCCAGGCCAAAAAAAGTAACAAGAGCAAAGATGAATCGTTTCTAAGAAGAAGGAGATGCAGAACAGAAAAATCAGAAGAAAAGAGAGGGACAAAGAAGGAGGAAGGACTGAAAGCCACTTCCCTTCCTGACCCCCGAGTTCCTGCTCCAGTAAAGTGACATGCAGCCCCTTCCCCATCCCTGCACTCCCTCCTCAGCCCGGACTTGAGGAACCAAAGAACTGTAAGGAGGAGACGTGTTCAACAAGACTTACAAGGAAGAACTGACAGGGCTGACGACTCAAGGAGAAAGAGGCAGGGGTCAAAAGGATGCTGGAAAGTCCAGTCTGGGTGTGAAGGAACATGGGAACCCTGGTAGAGGGGGTCAAGTCGAAGGATCGCCTGACTTGAAAGACAGAGTAAATTATCAGTAAATTCTGGGCAGGTTAAATTTGGGGTGATGGCAAGACGTTAGCAACATTCATTCTTCCAGTTGGCAACCACAGATACAAAAGGGAGTCCGGGTGAGAAGAAAGGACTGAAGACATGGTGGGGGAGACTATGGGAACACAAGGGAAGGTGGCAGCCAAGCACAGGGCATCTTCCCTCGTGGCCAGGTCTGCGCTGCCCTGTTCACCCTTTCTTCTTGTCAAAGACCTGCCCCTTGTGGCCGGGCGTGGTGGCTCACACCTGTAATCCCAGCACTTTGGGAGGCCAAGGCAGGCAGATCACTTGAGGTCAGCCTGGCCAACATGGTAAAACCCTGTCTCTACAAAAAATACAAAAATCAGCCGGGCGTGGTGGTGTGTGCCTGTAGTCCCAGCCACTCAGGAGGCTGAGGCAGGAGAATCGCTTGAACCTGGGTGGCGGAGGTTGCAGTGAGCTGAGGTCATGTCACTGCACTCCAGCATGGGCGACAGAGCAAGACTCTGTCTGAAGAGAAAAAAAAAAAAAAGACCTGCCCCTGGGGAGTGCCTGGGTGTGTGAGTGGGCCAGGTGTATACACACACAGGTGCGCAGTGAACAAGCAGCTCCTCTAGGAGGGTGCGGCACCAGGCAGGGATCGTTCTGCACTAGCCGTCCACTGGTCGATACCTTGGATGGAAAGTTCAGCTGACATCGAGGCCTTCCCCGACCCGTTCACCACCAGGCACGTGTACACTCCCACGTCATCTTGGTTGACTCCATGGATTTCCAGAACCTGCATGCCGTTCTTCTCAGACACAGACACACGGGCACTCGGCTGCAGTGGAACATTTCCCTGTGGATGGCAATGGGGTAACTTGGTCATACAAATCTGCTCACCTTCTGGCTGTGTCCTCCTGCCTCCTGCCAATCCTAGTGGGATAGACTCCAGGGCCTGGGCAGCAGCGTCCTCTGCTGTGGGCCCTGTCAATGTGCTCAGAGAGCCAACTTTAAACAGTTCAGGGGCCCTGACTTGAGGTCTGTGGATGTGGTGTGGTGCTCTGTCCTGCTTAGAGCAGTTGCCTGAAAACTGTTTCAAAGGAGCCTGAGTTTGAGGTAGGAAATCCCATATTCCTCACTTCAGTTTTTCCTTACCTCCCCATTCCTTTTATTCTTTTCCTAGGGGAGTTCAAGAGAATTAGGAAGCAGGTAAAAGGTGTCAATACCCACTTTTACCCAGGCATTCCAACTCTGAAAAACCTATTCCCCTGGCCATGACTCTACCTGTTCCCCTAGGATCCTCACTGCCCTGTTTAACAGCCATCCCCAACCCCATGCCACTGCCTCCCTGCCCGCCCACCTCTCCCCCTTAAGCTTCACTTCCCCCAGCCCTGAATGATTTATAAATCCCTTCTACATGGAGGCTCCTGACAATATTTTGAGGTAGGTGGTATTATTTCTATCTCACCGATAAGGAAACCAGGATTCCAAGAAGTCAAATGACTTATCCAGCTTCACAGGCTTTATAAACCAGGGAGCTGTGGCTTAACACCTAGAACCCTAACTTCACAGTCCACTCTTGAGATTGTCAGGCTTGTCTTGACTCAGAAGTTTTCTGCTATTTTGTGAGTGTGAGAATTGTCAGAACACTGTGGTCTGAGTAACAGAGGGAGAGTTGTAATAGGGACAGGAACATGCATCCCTAACAAACATACAGAGAACCCCTGAGAACCGCCTGAAACAGGAGGAACAGAATGGAAAGACTCCTACTAGTTGAAGGGTCTAACCCTGAATTTTCAGGGTCCCTAGGGCTATGATATGGTTTGGCTGTGTCCCCACCCAAATCTCATCTTGAAATGTAGCTCCCATAATTCCCACGTGTTGTGGGAGGGACCCAGTGGGAGGTAACTGAATCATAGGGTGGGTTTTCTCATGCTATTCTCATGACAGTGAATAAGTCTCATGTGATCTGATGGTTTTATAAAGAGGAGTTCCCCTGCACATGCTCTCTTGCCTGCCGCCATATAAGGCATGACTTGGCTCCTCATTCACCTTCTGTCATGATTGTGAGGCCTCCCCAGCCATGTGGAACGGTGAGTCCATTAAACCTCTTTCCTTCATAAATTACCCAGTCTCGGGTATGTCTATTAGCAGCATGAGAACAGACTAATACAGGCTGGATCAGGGTCAGGGCAGACAGAAACCTCACCTTGAGCCAGGTGACCTGCGGTTGGGGCCGGCCAGTGATCTTGCAGGAGAATCGTCCCATCTGTCCTTCTTTGACCACAACTCGGCCCAGCTTGGTAGCAAACTTTGGTGGGCACTCCCCCCAGATGCTAGGACGGGTCTCCACTGCTGGAGCTGAAAATCTATCCCTGTAAGGAAATTGGCAGAGAATCCAGTCCCAGACAAGGCAGCAATTCAACCATCCTCTCTCCACCTCACTCAAAGGCACTAAGTTAAGGTCAGAAGCCATCAAAGTGTAGCCTTCCCAATTTTATGCCTCAGAAACTTTCTCATGCTCTCTCTAGAAAAATGTGTGGCACCAAAACCTATTTCCTCTACCTCTTGGGCATGCAGCTAGACTTCATTTACTAGCCTTCCTTGCAGTTAGGCATGCCTGAATTCCACTGAGCCCTGGCTGAAAGCCTGGGTTTTAGCCAGGAGACCATGAGCAGAAGAGCTGTATGCCACTTCCAGGGCCGACTCATAAGAACCTCCTGTGAGGCTCTGCAGTCTCTCGTCCACTCTGCTGGTGAGATGCAGAAGGCCCAGTGGGGGCTCAAGGGCCTAGGAGATGAAACTATAAAATGGAAGAAGCCTGGGCTCCTGGAAGATAATGTGGAAGGCTCTCCCCATGTTCCAGGATATCTGAACTGAACTTTCCCTGAGTAAGAAACAAACTTTCCCTGGGTTGAGCCACTGTGATTTGAGGCTTGTCTGTTACAGCAGCTACTGTTACCCGCCTCTTCTAGGCTTGCTTATTTCAATCTTCTGACTATTGCCTTGATTGTTAGAGTCCACTGCAGACTCTGGCCACCTCTCCCACTTCCTTACATTTAGCAGCTGGGCCAGTCAAAGGAGCCAATCACAGAGGCAGCCAGGTCAGGAGGTGCTGTGTAAATGACACATCTCATTGTACTAGGCTCCCGCCCTTTGGTTATTATAACCTAGGAGAGCCAAGACTTACTCCCCAGACCTATCCTGCTCAAGTCAGCAGGAAAGCAATCCAACCCTTACTCTGTCTTGAACATCCAGGACTTACCCTAAGGTTTTGGAAACAACAGGCTGACCAAGCTGCTTCGCAAAACTTCCTGCAAGAAAAAGAGTTGATGAGTCAGGTCTGAGCCACCAACTTGGAGCAATGAAAGTAAAAAGATTCAACAGCAGGGGTGGGTGGGATAGTGATGGTGATCATTAATCTTGACTGAGCATGGGCTGTGTCACTATGGATACTATGGTAGGTGTTTACATACATTATCATGTGAATTTCTTGCAATAATTTTATGAAGCTGATACTACATTATCCTATTTTTTAAACAGATGAGAGAAATAAGATTCAGAGAAGTTAAGTCATCCATACAAGGTCACAAAGTCAGTAACAGTGCAGAAATTCACCCAGGTCTGCCAGATTCTAAAACTCTCAACCACCCTGCTGAGTTGTTAGGGTAGTACGCTCTACCTTCCATTTTGGGGATTATTTGGGGGTGATTCAGGACCTCTCCAGAACATTTTCTCAGTTAAAGGGAGGGAGGGAAAGGCCCATGCCTATCTCTTACCACACCTACTCTTGACTGACACAATCAACACTCCATTCTTCCACTTAAGGCCTGGCAAGTAGCAGCAAGCTGAAAGAGAGCAGGACAGGTCACTGCAGATGAGCTACAGCGGAGCCAGCAGCTCCTGCAGAATCTGCAGTGCTGCCACACTGAACACTGCCAGTCCTGGGCAAGGTGCTGCTATGCTGGACACTGCCAGTCCTGGGCAAGGCGCTGCTATGCTGGACACTGCCAGTCCTGGGCAAGGCGCTGCTATGCTAGACACTGCCAGTCCTGGGCAAGGCGCTGCTATGCTGGGCACTGCCAGTCGGTCCTAGGTGAGATGATGAGGCCATAGTAGGCGCTATCCTACTGGGCGCTGCTGATCCTGGGTGAGCTGTTGCCGTGCTAGGCAGGAGGCCATTAAATAGCAAAGCCAGCAAGGCAGCTGGGGTTAGCTCCTTTCATCCAGCTCCTGCAGCTGGGAGGGACAATTCACAATGTCACCATGAAATAACTCTAAAGTAGTGGGAGTTTTATTTTGAGGGGTGGGGTGGGAGGAAGAGGTCTTTTTTGAGATGATGATCACCCTGAAAGTTGTTCTTCTTTTGCCGCAAGCTGGGGATGTTTATAAAACCCTATCCCAGGGAGGGTAGAGTCATCCTCTGATATCAGCAGACAGTTGCTGTGGGGAATTTGCAGGGAGTTTACTGCAAAAGAGTAAACTTCCTTAACTTTGACTCTGATCACATTTATATGACTGTGTAAGAACATAGGTGTGGAGGAGAAAAATCATGGCTATTTTCATCAGCCACACCCGGTTTAAGATTCCACCAGAACTTTAGTGAAAAGGGATTAATAACAAACACTGGCATCACATTTAAGCTGTGGCTCCATATAATTGGTGATTACGATACAGGCATTTCTGTTTAACATTACTTAGTGAGCTGTGTCTAGTTTTCATTCCTGAAAGTGTTTTGGTTTTTGTCATTCCATTCTCTATTCAAAAGTAAAAGAACTTCTAAATTGATAAAAGGAGAGACTTGTTTTGAAAGGACCCAACTGACAGTCAAGATGCTGGGCCCTCAGATGCTGCTGGAGGCAGAGCCAACTGTCCAGTCCTCCTGGAAATACTTGAGTGAGGAAAAATCATAAGCTTTAAAGATGCTCTGCTCTTGGGACAGCACCTCCGTTTCTGTGACTCCATTCAAAGGAAACGACGCTAAAGTTAGAAGAGAAAGTTTACACAGCTATTCACTTTTATCTTATTTGTAATAGTGAAAGTTAGAAGCAACATAAATGTCACTCAGTAGGAAGAAAATAAGTAGTCAGGTAAAATGTACAATTAGACATCTTATTCTGCCATTAAATTATGTTTAAGAATATCTGAAACGTGCAGGTACATGTTAGGATATTATCTCATTCGTTCCTCAGCACACTCCAAATGGGCTATGATCCTCTCCGCTCCACTGGGCTCCATCCCAGCCACAATCTTGTCAAACCCAATGGTTGACACTCTGTCTCCATCTCACTCAGATGCTCAGTAGTATCTGACACAAGGTCCCACTCCCCTTCAAAGCACTTTCTCTTCTAGACTTTCCTGCTTTTACCAGGTTATTCATCTTCTCTCAACCTCCTTCTCTGCTCAACCTTTGCATGCTGGGGCACCCTAGGGCTGAGTCCTGGGCCTCTCCCCAGCTCCATCTAATTTCTCCCAGGAGGTCTTAGTCCCATAGCTTTAAATATCATCTATATGCTAAAGACCCAACCCATATCCCCACTAGAACTTCTTATTCACTCATCAGATGTATCCGGAACAAATCCCAGCACATTGTAGGTATTTAAATATTTGTTAAATACATTTTGTGCAGCATACAAAATTACCTATTTAATGTGATCATAATTAGGTAAAACTAAAATACCCAAAGACAGGAAAATGACAAGAAAAGGTATCATGTTATTAATACTGATTATTTTGGGGGTTGTGGTACTCTGAGTAATTTTATTCAGCTGTATTTTCTAAAACCTATAAATACAATGGTAAAGAAGAAATAAAACATGAAAAACATAATCTAGTTGCAAAAAAAGGGGCAGGGAGGAAGAAAGTAAAATCTGGCATCCAAATAGAGGATGGATAGGGCCTTCTAAACACGCTCCATACAACAGCATTATCCAGTCTCTAACATTTCATCACAAAATATCCGTGTACCATCCATTGTACTACCCACACTACTGTATCACTCATTTCATCTGGGAATAAAGATTTTATAAAAATTAGACTGATTAACTGATGAATGGATAAAGAAAATGTGGTGCATCCATACAATGAAGTATTATTCAGCTGTAAAAGGAATGAAGTACTAACACGTGGTACAACATGGATGGACATTGAAAAAGTGCATTAAGTGAAGGAGCTCAGACCCAAAAGGCCATGTATGATAGGATTCCGTTCATATGAAATGTCCAGGAGAGGCAAATCCATAGAGAAAGATGGTGGTTAGTAGTTGCCAGGAGCTGGGGGAGGAGGGGATGGGGAATTAATGCTCAATAGGTATGGGGTTTCCATTTGGGGTAATAAACAAGTCCTGGAATGAGATAGCAGTGATGGCTGCACAACACTGTGAATGTACTTAATGACAATTGTACACTTTAAAATGGTTAAAATGGTAAATTTTATGTTAGGTATGTATATTTTACCACAATAAAAAAAATTAGACTGAGCATTTTAAAAAGTCTTGGGAGCTAAATATCTTAATCCAAAAGGCTTAAATTCCTTTCTTCCTTAAAAAATAAATAAAAGCAAAAACATGGCACTTTCCCAAAGAATAGCAAAAGAATGCTGGGGAGAGATACTTCTATGTCAGGGTAAGAGGGTATGATGAAAACATATCACATAAAGCAGTCAGCTAAAAATGGAATTGATGGATGCTTATTTTAATATGAGTTAACAGAGAGTTCACATCAAGACAAAAAGAATTTAGGCTAAAATTACTAACAGGGTCTATTTATAGGAAAAATTTGAAGTTGCAAATTGTTAGATAAGGCAAAATTAATTTTGTAAAAGTATGAAAATCTGGCAGAACAGTAAGGTTATGTAGAAAAATAAGTGGAAAGGGGATTAAAGTAGAAATGCAAAAAATAGAAGAATGAGTTAAGAGAACTGGTGAGGACAGAAGCAAGTTGCTGAGAAAAAGGAGAGGCCAAGACACTGACGGTATTTGATCTTAGATTTTTCAAAGACAAGTAAAAGAGAATGCTGGCAGGTCTTAGGATTGGAAAGTTCAGTGGTGGAAGGGATAAGGTAGACCTAGCTCTGTTTGTCAGGTGATACAGAAAGACTGAATCGGGTCAGAACATACTGCTCAAAAAGTGAATAATGTGATCAAAATTGAAAGGAGCCGAAATGCTTCTAAAAATGTGCGGTGATATAATTTATCATCCAAACAGAGACTCTCAACACTGAGAGAGATGCAATTAATAATCATGCCAGGATAGCAGGAGAAAGCTAGGACTGTTCCAGGAAAAGTGGGGAGCAGTCACCCTACTTGTAGCCAACTTCAAAGTGTTTTTTGAGGATTACTTAAAATAGTGGTTCTCCACTCTATCAGAACAAATATCCGCTTTTTATAACACGTATTAACTGATATCCCCATGCGACCCTGATCAAAATTCCCTTCTAATCACACATACACGTATGTGATAATTTCAAAAAGAAAATAAATGTAAAGCCTTAACTAAAGCATTACGGTGATATAGAGCGAAAGTGAATTATAAAAATATGGATTTCAATATGCAACTGTTCAAGCATGACCATTTCAATTTACATAAGTGCTCAGGCACATTAGATGACAATGAAATGGCAGATTCTTGCATTAACTCCTAATGCATGTTTAGATTTAAAAGTGAATGATGAAAAATCATGCTGTACAAGTAGCACAGCAAAGTGAAAGAGCACAGGTCTACAGTGGACACTAGAATATTCAAATAAAAAGATGTATTATATAAAAAAGAAAGAAGAAAATAACTTTAAAAGAAGATAACATAGCAAGACAAGTTACAGACCACTGAAGTAGAGAACATTTTTAGAAAGATGATTAATGTATTAATGTGGTGTTAAAACAATTCTCCGTTTTATGATACGGGGTTGAGTAGTAAGAAAATTATCACAGTAAAATTTATCACAGGACTTCAAGGTAAAATCTCACCTTACCTTGAAATACACATTCAGTGAATGGTTTTGACAAAGGAACAGTGATAATAACAAGAGACTATAGAGAAGACATGTGCTAGGATGAAAACAGCAGTCATCTCCAAAAAATAATGGAAATACATAATTTTTTTACAATATAGATTTATTACTGTTCCCCAAAGTTTTAAAAAATGTGAGATGGCAATAAAACTCAATAAGATGCCTACATTTTATGCATCTCCATTAACTTAATACTATTTGCTTCTAATATTAAGAGTTTTAAGTCTCCTCTGATCCACATTTTCAGAGCAATAGTGTAGTAACAGCACTATCTATATATACAATTATATGAGGTAATTATATATAGATAGAAATGTTATATTTCATTTAGTAGAAAATTTGTGCAGAGTAAATTTTTCAAAAATTTTGGAGGATAGCTTCATTCCTTTTAATCTTCCCTCTAAATGATGACCATTTCTTCAATTACTGGGCTCTTTTTTTTTGTATTATTGAAGACTAAGGAACCACCGATTTATATATTTGTGGTGTCTGTTCTGGTAGGACTGTGAGGAACTGGGAAAAGATTCTTGCTGTGAAGCCCATCCTGTACCCCTAGTGCTTGCCCCCTAAATCCAGCAACACTCCCAATCACTGGGAAACCAAAAGGGCCCCCATGAATCTCCTAAGTGCCCCCTAGAGGGTGGTACTGTCTCTGTTTAGGGCCAGTGGCTTAAGAAAACCTCTGGAGAAGTGCCTAGAACCAGAATTTCTGGTTGAATATTAAACTTGGTATTGAAGAAAAAAGGAATGAAAAAAGTCAAAACTAAAGGTCACTGAAATTGCTCAATGTGAATAACATTTTTGCCAAAATTCTCCTCTTTGAAGCACTCTTTCTTTTAAGGCTCAGATATTATTCTAGATTTTGTTGTACATGTTAGTCTACTTGTTGAAGCTCTGACCAGTGCTTATATATACTAGGAACGGAATCCCTTTCTTAGTACAGGGGATGAAGTACCAAAGGCAGCTACAGAGGCAGTCAACAAATATTTACTGAGCTCTTTCTACAGGCCAGACCTATCATGGCTCAGGCCCTGTGCTAGGTTCCTTACACTGGGGATTCAGTAACTGATAAAAAGAGACATGTCTTGCCTTCATGGAGCTTACAGTTCTAGTGGAGAAGAAAAACATTTAAAATACTTATTTATAATTTATTTATTTATTTTTATTTTTTACGTATTTTTGAGATGGAGTCTCACTCTGTCGCCCAGGGTGGAGTGCAGTGGTGCAATCTTGGCTCACTGCAACCTCCTCATGTCAGACTCAAGTGATTCTCCTGCCTCAGCCTCCTGAGTAGCTGGGATTATAGGCACCCACCACCACATATGGCTAATTTTTATGTTTTTAGTAGAGACGGGTTTCACCATGTTGTCAGGCTGGTCTTGAAGTCCTAACCTCAAGTGATCTGCCCACTTTGGCCTCCCAAAGTGCTGGGATTACAGGTGTGAGCCACCATGCCCGGCTTTATTTACAATTTAAAGACAAATAAGTTCAAGTATAAAGAATTGTGAAGCCAGGCATGGTGGTACATGCCTGTAGCCACAGCTTCTCAGGAGGCTGAGGCAGGAGGATTGCTTGAGGCTAGGAGTTTGAGCTTTATTGTTCTTTATATCCTAGCACAAAGTTCAATAAAATCTGAGGAATGAAGAAGAGGCTAGAACTAACAGCAACTGGGAAAAGCCTAAATCTACCAAAGGCCAGGGGTGGAGATGGGAGAAGGAGGTGGAGGAATACGAGATGGAAAAAGGAGGGAGCATCAGTAGCAAAAATCTAAGTTAGGCCAGCAAGGGCAACCTGTGTGTATTTTGGAGGGAAAAAGAGGCAAAGGCAAAGTGGATGGTGAAGATAAAGGAGGGAAGAGATTCCAGCTAAAGGAAATTTGGAAGTCATCCTTCAAGAACAGAATGGGACCAAGTAACTTTCCAGCTAACTCTTTTGTATACTAAATGAGTAAGGCTGCTTCTGCAAAGGCAGTCTTGAACACACAACTATTTTACAGCAAAGAGTCTGGTGGGGCAAAAAGAATAATTTCCCTTTCTATCACATTTGTATTGTTAACTTTAATGAGACAGAAAAGGACAAAAACTCAGAGCATTTTAAGATTCTGCCTAGATTTTAAAAAATAGGGTATATACCCCTAGAAAATGAAGTCATTGGGGAGTTTTAGAGGTTGAAAAGCATTTATAAAGAACATAAATGGGAAATATAATTATAGGTCCTTCAGATGGGTAGAAAAGTTAGATAAAGGAAGACAGTCCAAAAGAAATAAGAGCAAAAAGAACCAAAAGAAGAACCATGACAAACATCCAGGAGGAACACAGTAATTTAAAACTCAGCCAGTATAAATAGACACGGCCTAAAAATGTATAATGTCATCAATCCAACCCAACATGAAGATAAAAGGAGTCTAAGAGATCTGCCCCTGAAAAACGGCAGTGGCAACAAAAGATGGCACAGGAGCATTTCCTACGAATTCAAGGTGGCCCGAGAATCCTGGTGTCAGTGGCACCACCAGAGCTGCCTTAGTGGTCACCAGGGCTACTCTTCTCCCTTAAATCTTGTGACAGGGGGTCATTCTCCCTTCTGCTGTCACAGTCTAGGTGACCTGCTGGCTGGCCCTCTCTCTCTCACATAGTCAGAGCCTCGGTCTGCACTGCAGTAGTTTCATGCGGGTGTGGATAGCAGGAGCTGCGGCACTGAGGGGTGGCTGGGGGTAGGGAGGAGGTGTGCTTGGACCATCTGGGAGGGGAGAGCCAGGCAGACGGCTCCAGCCCAGTCAGTGTTTTCAGCAGCCCTCCGGGTGATTCTGATGCATGCTCAAGTTTGAGAATCACTGTACTAGGTGGAATATATCACACATGTAATTAAATCCCTCCTTGCTACTCCAAGAGTGGTCTGTGGACCAGCAGCATGGCATCAACTGGCGGCTGGAAATGCAGACTCCCAGGCTCTGCTCCAGACCTATGGAATCAGCATCTGCATTTCAACCAGATTCGCCAGGTGATTTCTGTGCACATGCATTTGCACTAACCAATCCTGTAAGGTGGGTGATCCATCTGAGGTCTGGATCTCCTCTGGGGGCTGCCAGTTTGGCTTTCCCTGGGCTCCTGAGCTTATGTCCTTAAAGTTAACCCTTTATTACCTGAAGTGACTCTCTGGTCCTTGAAAAGTCAAAGGCCTTCTCAGACTGAGACCACTGGGGCTGGGGCACACCCACCGTTTGGGCACTCACTCCACCTCATGTCCGATGCTCACTGTGTGGATGTGTGATGACCCAGGACTACTCACCACCTGTTAGTCTGTTCTCGCATTGTTATAAATACCTGAGGCTTGGTAATTTACATGGAAAAGAGGTTTATTTGGCTTGTGGTTCTGCAGGCTGTACAAGAAGCATGGCACCAGTATCTGCTCTTGGTGAGGGCCTCGGGAAGCTTACAATCATGGAGGAAGGTGAAGCAGGAGCAGAAATGTCAGATGACGAGAGGGAGAAAGAGAGAGAAGGGAGAGGTCCCAGACTCTTTTAAACAACCAGATCTCATGTGAACTAACTGAGCAAGAATTCACACATCACCAAGGGGATGGTATTAAGCCATTCATGAGGGATCCATCCCCATGATCTAATCACCTCCCACCAGGCCCTACCTCCAACCTTGGAAATCACGTTTCAACATGAGACTTGGAAGGAACAAACATCCAAACCATATCAACACCTGTTCATCCATGTGGCTTTCTCTTTTTGTTCTGTGTAAACCTTGTTTATTCCTATTCAGGTGGCAGCTTCTAGAACTGCACTGTTCAAAAGAGTAGCTGTTAGCCACTTGTGGCTATTGAGCACTCAGCATTATAGCTGGTCTGAAGTGAGGTGTGCTGTAAGTGTAAAATACATCCCAGATGTTGAAGAATGTAAAATATCTCATTAATAATTTTTATATCGCTTATACATTGAAATGGTAATATTTTGGATATAATAGGTTAAATAAGTATTTTATTAAAATGAATTTTACCTGATATCTTAAAATGTGGCTACTGGTAAACTTAAGATTACACAAGCCTGGGCAATACGGTGAAACCCCATCTTTAAAAAAATAAATACATAAGGCCGGGCACGGTGGCTCACACCTGTAACCCCAGCATTCTGGGAGGCTGAGGTAGGCGGATCACAAGGTCAGGAGTTCAAGACCAGCTTGGCCAACATGGTGAGGCCCCATCTCTACTAAAAGTACAAAAATTAGCCGGGCGTGATGGCACACGCCTGTAATCCCAGCTACTTGGGAGGCTGAGGCAGAAGAATTGTTTGAACCCAGGAGGCAGAGGTTGCAGTGAGCCAAGATCATGTCACAGCACTCCAGCCTGGGTGACACGGCAAGACCCTGTCTCAGAAAAATACATACATACATACATACATACATACATACATACATACATACAAATACATAAATTAGCTCAGTGTAGTGGTGCAGGCCTATAGTCCCAGCTACTTGGGAGGCTGAGGTAGGAGGATCGCTTGAGCCCAGGAGGTCGAGGCTGCAGTGAGCTGTGATTACACCACTGCACTCTCGTCTGAGCAACAGAGCAAGACCTAGCCTCAAAAAAAAAAAAAAAGATTATATATGTGGCTCACATTAAATCTCTACAGGACAGGTCTGTGGTCCTCCACGGGAGAGGAAGTTCTCAGAGGGCAGGTACCACGTCTCTTCCTTGCTCTGCACCAAGCCTCATGACCTGACCTCTGGAGGTGGGCAAGTGTCAGAGCTGTCTTCAGATAGCCTTCCAGGGGCTCAGACCAAGGCTGATTTCCATCATGTAAGGCCCTGAATAACTGCATGGCCCTCATTAAGGCACTGGTTCTCTTGGGGGATTCTGAATGTTTCTTGGGCCTGATCACTACATTAAACGTCAGATGAGGAATCTTTCTCTCTTGCAGATTTCCCTTTTTAAGTAGCTCTAAGGATGCTAATGCCAGTTCAAACAATGATGAAGCTACCACTTTCTGGGTGCTACTTCCTACTAGCTGTGCTTATCCTTGTACCACACTGTGGGGCAGCCATGAACTCCAAGTCACAGAAAAGGAAGTAAGGCTTAGGAAGGTTAATTTCTCCATAGTTAGAAATTAGTAGAGCTAAAATTCAATCCAAGACCATTTGACTTTCTTTCCATTGCACAACACTGCCTCCTAAACTTGACCACTAAAGGATTACAAAACTCCACATATGAATTACACTCTGAATTCCTGGACCTCTGCTCACTCCAAGTAAGAAGCATAGCACAGAGAGCTGGAGGGAAGGCAGTTGGGCTGCTAGGTTTCCTTTGTAAAGGGTTGGGCTAGCCTGGCACAGCCAGCAACTCATCCATGGCAGAAGGGCCCAGAGTGGACTCTTTCAGGCCTAGGTCTGTGGGGTGGCCCCAAACCACACATTAGCTTAAAATCGGTCTTGCTGCAGAAGCAGAATGTGCATAGGACTCACACACATTTAAAGAGCTGCATCCTTTAGGCTGTTCTCTATCTCCTAGAGTTAGAAGACAGAAAGTATCTTACATTTTATGTCTTAATTTTATTTTAATTAACTGTATTTTAATTTTAATTTGAGGGCCTGAGTCTCCCCAAATGAAAACCAAAGGGGAGGGGTGGGGTTGAGAGCCTTAGCCTGCTCTCCTTCCTCTACAGCCCTCAGCCTGATTTCCTTTCCCCTGCCCTGAGTACCATGAGCTACTAAAAATTTTCCTGCTTGGTCATGACATCAGATCTCACTTCCTGAACAGTAGGGATTGAAGAAAACGTTTTCATATTATCTAGGTTTTATATGCCTCCCCTGTATTCCTAACAGACTCCAGTCTTCCCTTAATGTGGATCATAGAAAACAAGGGCTAGTCCAGGTTGTAGAGACCACCAAAGTCAAACCCTTTATCCTGCAGAAAGACAGGTGCAGAGGTTTAGAGTCACACATCTCATTGGCACAAACTCATAACTCAGTGCTTTCTCAATTTCCCCAGCTCTAAACAGAACTCAGAAGAGGGAACAGGGTAATTTTTATTTGTAGGCATCAACACAAAGTTCAGGCATTGAAAGGGGGTTCATGTAGGGGAAAGCACAGCACCAGGATGGCAGAGCTGAGGTCCATCCTGAGGTTCTGAGCAGGGGCCACTTTCCATCTGGAATGCCCCAGCCAAAAGCACTCAAAGGTCATTAGAGTAAGTGAGTCACTCAGTTAAAGAATTTAAGGAAAGCATCCAAACTATGCATGCTCCACTCTGTGAAACAGCCTGTTGGCCCTTCTGTGGTGTGGGGAGACAGGGAAAACAGGGCAAAGGGCGGCCATTGGCCCAGGTGCACCTCGCCCCCTTCTGGAACCTTCCCTGACTACCTTAATTCTCCATCTAGTGTCCCCTGAAAACCAGATTGGGAGGACAGTCTTCTGAAAGAGGAGAAGTGAGTCTGAGCCTTGGTTTATAAACTTCCAGTCTTAGAAAGACCGGGAAGGGTCAAGGGAACCTTGTGTTACTTCTGAGGGGCTGACAGACCCCATGTCCTTCCTGATATCAAGGCTTTAAGTGTCAGCCAGGGACCTGAACTAGAGATACTCTTTCCAGTGGAGTGGCTTCAGCATGGCAGAAGGACACACTAGTAGCAAAAAATATTTTACTTATGGTCCAATTTTTCTCCTAGAAGTTTTAAAGTTAACAGAATTTTTTAAAGTACAGAGTGGGGAAAAAGACAAAAATATTAGGTTGGTGCAAAAGTCATGTGGTTTTTGCAATTACTTTTAACTAATATGTTAACACATTGATGTGTTTACTTCCTACATATTTTTCTGAGTTACATAATTTTTAATAATGAGCATGTATTATTTCATAATGACGCTAAAGATGATGTTAATGAGGATAAAAACATTGTTCATTCATTCCTCAAATATTTCAGTATCTACCATGTGCCAGGAAGCTTTCTAGATGTTGGAGATAAGGCAATGAGCAGAGAAAGTCCATCTCCTCCTAAATCTTCCATTTAGTGGTGGGGGATGGAGAAGACACTGCAATGTGAGATGGTAATACGTCCTAAAAGAAAAACCTCGAGTGGGGTGAGAAGATGGAGAGTCATAGGGCTGGGATGGTTGGGAAAGGGCCTCTAAGGAGCAGACATCTGAGAACAGACTTGAAGGATGTGAAAGGAGCGTCAGGTGAGAGGCTGAGGGAAGGGCTCTTCTTTTACAGAAGGAACAGCAAGGGTGAAGGCCCTGTAGCCTTGCTCAAAGAAGGGCCAGAGGTGGGTGTGACCACGGTGGGCTGAACAGGTGCAGAGTGGCAGAAGATGGGTCTGAGAGCTAGGGAGGGGCCAGATTGGGTGGGGCTCTGTAAGACCATCCTAAGGAGTCTGATTTCAGCTGCAGTGTGAGGGGAAGCCATGGGAGGGCTCAAGCAGGAGACAGGTGATACCTAGTTTGACAAACATCATCTCCTGGATGCCTCCCTTGTTCGCAGGGACCACATCTCTCCCATTAGATTGGAAGGTCCGGGGTTCAAGGATGGGGTGTGTTTTCTCTTGTCAGTTCCTCCATCCTTCAAGAGAGGGCTAAGGCAGGAGCTGCAGGCCTTGGGGTAACTGAGAGCTCAGCTCCCTCCTGGACTCGGGCCTCCTGGGACTCACCTTCTACTGTCAACTCCACTGTCACCTGGCGAGCACCACTGCCATTGGTGGCTTCACAGGTATACTTTCCCCTGTCCTCCTCATGGACAGCATGAATCACAAGGCTGAAAGTCCCCCGGATGCCGCAATCCAGCAGGAAGCGGCCCCCGCTGGTGATGGGTTGCCCGTTTCTGTGCCATGTCACCTGGGGCTCTGGGTAACCCCGGACCTTCAAGAAAAAGAAGAAAGGGTAAGAGCCTGTATTTCATGAGTACTCTCTCTGTGTCAGGTATTGTTTGGAGTGCTTTACATGTGTTAACTCATTTAATCCTCATAACGCCCCCATTTCATCCTCATTTTACAGATAAGGAAATCAAGGTACAGAGAGTTTTGGCAATTTCCCAAGGTCTCAAAGGTAGAAGGTGGCAAAGTCAGGCATCCTGGGTCCAGAATCCACTATGCAAATGACTCTCAAGCCCGGCTGCATTTTAGAATCATCCAGGGGAGCTTTAAAAAAACACTAGTGCCCAGGTCCCACCTTAGACCAATTAGATTAGAATCCCAGGGGGCCAGGACTGAGTACGGGGATTCTAGACCAGTGCTTCTCACTCCAACATGCTAATAAATCACTTGGTGATCCTGTTAAAATGCATATCCTGCTTCTACAGGTCCGGGCTGGGGCCTGAGATTCTGCAGTTGGGACAAGCTCACAGATGCTACTGATGCTGCTGGTCCCTGGAACTCACCTTGAGTAGCAAGGTTCAGGACCTGCACTGCCCAGCACGGTAGCCACTGGCCACAGGTAGCGATGGAGCACTCAAAATGTGGCCAGTGAGACTGAGTTGCACTGTAAGTGTGCATTACACACTGGGTTTCGAAGACAATACAAAAAAGGGCAAAATATCTCAATAATTAAAAATATGGATTAGATGTTGAAAAGTAGTATTTTTGATATGTTGAATTAAATGTATTCAGATTAATTTCAGTTGTTTCTACTTTTTAATGTGGCTACTAGAAAAGTTACAATTACATCCAGGCCTTGTGACAGTCCTATGGGGTAGTGCTGCTCTAGACCACTTGCCTTTCTCTAACTGTAGTTAGCAGCTGACATTTGCTGAGTGCTAAGGGTTCAGCACTTCTCTAAGTACTTGGCTCATCTGAGTTTCCTTTTTTTTTTTTTTTTTGAGATGGAGTCTTGCTCTGTTGCCCAGGCTGGAGTACAGTGGTGCAATCATCTGAGTTTCATAGCAACCCAGTCAGAGAGAAGACATCTCTCAAAAGAGGGGAAAATGCAGAGATAAATTCAAAGAAAAGAATTCACTTTGAGTTTTAAAGAAAGGAAGTCCCCCAAGGGCCTTCAAACACTTGAAACTCAGTAGGCTCTTCAGAATTAACTCATCTTTGGAGGATTAGGGTTCAGAATGGCTCACTAATGCACAGCCAAGGACCCAGAATTGGGGATTTTAGCACTGGAAAGTAGAAGGCATCATAGGAGCTTCCTGAGAACAAAGTTGTTTGCATTACAAAACAGTGGTAGCAATAGTTTTATCCATGTATTCACTTCAAGGAAAGAGAGAATGGATACGGATGAAGCAAAATCAAAATTCACTGAATGACCCCCAAATTGCATTTACAAAGAAAGGCTTCACTGATCTGTAGCAATAATCCTACTCACACCCCCTGCAAGGTCACAGAGTGATGCTATATTGGCGCATGTGCACACAGGCCTGGGCATCCAAATACAGTCTCTTCCCTAAGCATACTAAGCGAGGAAAGAGCTATGCTAAAAAGCGCCGGTCGTTGTCTTTGGACTGTGCTCAGTTTTCTTCCCAGGTGCTCAGCCCCTAGCCCACCCTTAGACCAGAGTCTCTGTAACCAGGATGCAGATTTCTTCCTAAGGAAGGAAGCCTTGAATAACAGGGAAAACTCCCAAAGTGAACAATCCCTCTTTGATTATTCCATATAGTCACCCCTCAGTGCCAGTTTGTGAATCTCACAAGACTGCCTTTCTGTCCCCACTAATTTGTGGTCAAGCTTCAGTGAAAAAGAAACAACAATAAAACTCCAAATCAATATGGTCCATCTTATTTACAATGTCTGGAAACAAAAATATATCCCTTTCCTATCAAAATCTAAACTATACTCATGACAGAGATTGAGTACTTTGGAGGAAATGCTGAGACTCTGGAGTGGATTCCCCAAAAGCCATGTGAACAATGCCTGAAGCCATTGTAGCCTCACCAAAACAAGTGTTCCAGAACTTAGGCTGACAGTGTTGAAGGAGACCGCATCCATTGGGATGCACAGGGTCTCACAGCCACTGTAATATAAAATGGTGTGTTAACAGCTGTTGTCTCTGGGTGGTTAGGATTGTGAGTCTCCTCCTTTCTTTTTAGTTAACTATTAGTTTCTGAGAGTTCTGCAATAGTACACCTGGCCTTTGCAAAACAGAAAAAAGAATTTTACTTAAAAAATGCATTTCTTTTATATTAGTGTGCTGTATAATGAATGTATATAGCACATTCATTAATTTGTTGAGGGCCTCAAGGAATTTAAATCTAGTAGCGGAAATAAAAGAGCCATGCAAATAAATGTTATGCATGTTTAAAGGTGACAGATGTCATGCGCCCATATAAAATCATGTCATCTTGTGGCCCTAAAGGCAGAAACGTTCATGCATGGGAACATCAGACAACAATTACACTGTTAAAGTATTCTTCTCGTGTGAAACCCTTTCCTACAGAAGGTGGCCCCTCAGGACTCTGCTCATACAGTGAATCTGCAAACCATCATTGTCTTCTCCTGCACTCCATTAGGCAGGGCTGGTCTACCCAGGCTTCTATCAGCTTCAGAGAATGGGAGTGCCAAGCACTGCAACTAGGAGGAGGTAAATCATTAACTGCGCCAAAGGCGTCCTGGCATTCCATTAGCAAGCATACTGGCCCCCTGCAGCAGGGCCAGCTCTGGTGGCTCACTGGGCTCTGGGGCATCAATGATTAACTGGGGACATTGCAAACGTTCCAGACCTCAGGGACACAATCCTTCTGTCTCTTTCTCTTTTCCTCTCACTTTCTACACATACCCCAAGCTTACCTCTGAAATGCCCTCTTAAAATAAATATTTAGGGATTTGAAAATATGCTGAAACTGGCATCACTTAAGAAAGTTGCAGTTCACTATGATACTTTTATAGCACATTGGACCTGAAGCAAAGGCAGGAATTTTTGTGACCTTGTTCAGTTCCAAGGTCTGAATGATTTGAAACTTTAATACTTGCCCTCCCAATATGGAAAATCAATCCGTTTTTACTGTCTGCCACTACCCTGGACCTCTGGGTGGTGAAGGAATAAGCCTGGGTTCACATCCTTGGGATGCATGACAACAGCCCTGCCCTCCCAGGTTGCCTTATCTGCTGTCATCACTGGCCTTCCACCAAGAAGTCATAGCTGGGATTTTTACAGTCAGGATCTTCATCAAGAGCCAGTAAAAACTCTTTGGTCCTGTAGTTTTCAGAGGGCTGCCATGTATAGACTCTTACTTGACTCTTGCAGCTATGACGGAGATGTCTTTGGTTTGGATACCCAGAAGCAGAACCTCAGATAGGGCTTCAGAGACCCCTTCCTGCAAGTCCTCACCAACACTCACAGCAGCTGGGAATGGGCCTAATGAAGGTATACGGGTAGGGCACCAACAATGTCCACAACAGCTCACAAAGCCAGTCGTTTTACTGGGCCCATGTAGCCTAGAAAAGAGGCCTGGAGAAGTAGATGGTTTGCCATGATCTCACATGGCAGCTTAAATGGCAGATTGGAGACCATAATTTTGGTTTCCAGGTTGAGTGGTTGTCTCCATGCCTCATCGTAAATTCATGTTTTTGGTGAGGTAAGTTCTGTAGAACCAAAAGTATTCATAAGCGTCTATCTCCAAGAGACCCTAAATCCCTTATAGGTTAAAGCAATATCTGCTCCCCACTTTTGGAAAGTGTCAAATGGTTCACCAAGGTTATAATCACACCATAAGCAAGTCTTGGGCTATTCCCTTGTTTTCGTAATAGGACAGGATTGGTGCCTGCCAGGTGTGTACCTAAGACACCCCTAGGAGAGTCAGTGTGGTACAGAGAGGCTAGTATGCAAGCCAAGGCCTGCACACTCTGGGCCTGGCTTGGTGTCCTAGCTTTCTTGGGTTGTAATTCCTTCCTTGTATTAAGGAGGAAATTGCTTTTGGTATCTAAGGTTCCTCCCATCTCTGAAGTATTATGGTTTTAAATGGTGACCCACTTAGCTTCTTAGGGAAGATTCTTTCCTTTCCCCTGCATTCTCCTCTGGGTCCAACCCACAGCCTTAGTACCCTCTAATCCTCCATATGAGAAAACCAAGTAACCACAGAAGAAATGCTCACAAACATGAATAGACAGCCCTGAGTTTTCACCACAATGAGTTTTGGAAATGGCACCAAAGAGGGTCACTCTAAGGAGAGAATCGCATTCTTGACACAGTAACCACATTTAATTGGAGGTTGTATTCTTGAACAAAAGCCCGGTATCAAATAAATCAAGGGTATAACCAACAACTTGTCATAAAAATAAAGATATAGTCACCATAACCCCTATAATAATTTTAAATAGTAAAACTGTGCTCCAGCTTCATAAAATGTCCTCAAAAACCTTTATGGCCTCAAAAGGCCTTTAAAAGGAATGAGGGCTCATTCTGTGCTTGCTGAAGGTTGAGGAGAAAGCTGAGCTGCAGGCAGGCAGTCGCTTGGCCACTGCATTCTACCTGCCTGTCTCACTTGAGAGGCAGTTTCCAGAACCTGGTGCTGCCTTGAGATTTACTTAATGACTAAAAGCAAAACATCTGTTAGAGCACTAAACATTTTGGTTTTTCTCTAACATATATCAAGGGCTTTCAACTTATCCTCAGTTGCTTAGGACGGGCTACCATAGCCTGTGCTCAGAGCAGGGGCAAATTCTTTGTCCCTATAGGTCCTCCAAGACTCAAAGCAACATATCCATCTTCTCCAAGCTTGGTGAGTAGCAGAAAGGGGGTGATTGTGCTGATTCTGCAGATCTGCCGCATGTCTTTTTTGTCTGGCAGGGCCTGGCGCAATGCACACACTACAAACCCACACAGCTGCAGGGCACAGCTGCGGTGGCCCAACCGCAGATAGGTCACATGAGCAGGAAGAAGGAACTGAGGCTCTGCCCACATCAGGGATGGAGGAAGACCAGGAAGGAGAGAAAGCAGGATTGAGCTGAGGCCAGGGAGAAAACAGACTGCCCAGCAGGACACTGGGGATTGGGAAGATGCACCAAGAAGATATGAGCAGTGAGCTGAAGAATCTTTAGGGCTGGGAACAACAGACCCGAGGGGTTGCCACTGAGTATTTACTTGATTGTTAAGTAACTGAAGGGATGCTGGGAAAGGCTGGGCCTGGAGGAGGGGACATTAAGGAATTCTTCTAGATGGACATCTCCCCTAAGCTGACAAAGCCTCATTCTGCAACACTGTCTATGTATTCATGATTGTTGCCTGCCTGCCTGTAACACATTACTGTGAACTTCTTACCCTGTTACAAGTGTTGTTTCTCCTATGATAAAAGACTAGAAGAGGACTGGTGATTAAAAACTGAAAAATAGTAGGAAATAAAACCAATGGTGCTGAGGGATTAGCTGAAGAAGAATCAATCTTCTTCTGCCCCATCTCCAAGTATAAGCTCACTCAGATAATAAATGGACGTGGTTGCACAAAAAAAAAAAAGAAGGAAAACATTAACACCCCAAACAAATCAGACCACAGAAAATGTCTATAAAACTTACCTCATGGGTATGTTATGAGGGTGAAGAGTGAAGGGTGAGCCAGGGGCATGGCATGACCAAGCTTCAGAGCCTGCGTCTGTGTCAGCAACTGGCACTCAGCCCCATAAGCAGGCAGGCACTTAATTAAGGCTTTGAATAATCCCATTGCCAACAGTCAAAAGCCTTAACTGAACCCACAGAACCCATCAGGAAGAGACCATACCAACTAAAAACAGCAATTAGTGAGAGGCTTAAACTGCTGGATGCTCCCCACCCCCATGTCCAACTTGTAAACCAATGAGGACAAAAGTGCTTCCGTGTAAATAAAACCAGAATGCAGAGAATTGTTCCTCTCAATGGCTCAGCAAATGCCATGTGGGTCTCCAGGGACAGATGCTCAAAGTCTCTTTCTCTGTGATCAGCCACTCTCACTTCCTATGGCATGCTTTCTTTTCCTATGACCCGAGACATAGGAATCCCTGCACCTCGACATCTGCAAGGCTGAGGACTTGTTTCTGTCACTGAAAACACAAGGCAAGTTATAGCTCCGTAGCTGGGGGTTACAATTCAAGCCCTTCTGGACCGCTTAATCAAAAAGATCTATTTCCTTTTATCTAGACCAACCTTATCAACACATGCAACTTTTTGATTCCCTTTTAATGATATAAGCATCTAAAACCCTTTGGAGCAGCCAAACAAAGATACAGATTTTTCTTTCTTTCTTTCTTTCTTTTTTTTCTGAGACACGTTCTCACTCTGTTGCCCAGGCTAGAGTGCAGTGGCACAATCAGCTCATTTTGCAGCCTCGAACTCCTGGGCTCAGGTGATTCTCCTACTTTAACCTCCCAAGTAGCTGGGACTATAGGCATATGCCACTATGCCCAGCTAATTTTTTGTACTTTTGTAGAAATGGGGTCTTTCCATGTTGCCCAGGCTGGTCTTGAACTTCTGGTCTCAAAAGATCTGCCTGCCTTGGCTTCCCAAAGTGCTAGGATCATAAGCATGAGACACTGTGCCTGGCCAAAGACATAGAATTTTAAGTGTGATGGGCAACTTCTCACGTTGATACCTTCCTTGTTCCCCCAAATGCATTGTTTTCATAGCAAAACAGATGTCCTTCTGGTTTAACTCCCAGCCCTTCTGGGATAGTTGTGGGGCTCCAGGCTTTCCAGAACCTCTACACAAAACTTTGGGGTTCTGGCTGTACTCTCACCATGGGTCTCCACGGATACTGTGTCTTCAGCTGGAGGAGCAAGCCCAGGAGATCACTCTTCTGTGGCAGCTCTCCAGTTTCTGCTACCAAATAGAGATGCACTCTCAGACATATTAAGTATTAATGAGAGGCATGTGGCATTGCAGAGGTTTAACAAATTAATGCTGTGGTTTGACGTGGTTTTGATTTGCTAGGCTCTCCTGCCTGCCAGTGTAAGCAGCATTCCTCTCCTTTGGAGGAAGTGCCTCCTCCCTTTCCACCCATTATGTGTTAGACCCGGTGGGGATGCCAATTGGTAAAATGCCTCCTGGCCAAAGCACTTGGTCTCAAACAATAGGCATATGTTCCAAGCCAGCCAATGAGAGATCTTCCCTGCAACTTTATCTTTGAATATTGAGAGACCAAAGCTGTCTCTTTTCACAGAGACCCAAAACTGAGAAGATGTAAGACTTAGCCTATCTGCAGCCGTTCTCTCCCAAGCCCCATTATCTATTTTCTTGCCTCCTCCCAGAAGGAGGAAGCCATCTGGAGAATAAGAGCTGATATATACAGTGAAGAGAAGAAATGGAGACAGAGTTGACAGAGCTGTGGTAGACTCTGGACCCGCTCAGGTATATGAGACAATACATATCTTTTGCTTAACCTAGCTGGAGTTTCTGTCACCTGCAAAAAAAAGTCCCACCTACTTACTTCAGGAAGGTATATGGCCTTTGGAGTCAGACAGATCTATGTGTGGATGTGGGCTGCATCAATCATCAGCTGCCTGACATTGAGCAAGTTACTTATTTGGCTCTGAGTTTACGTAACTGCAAAGTGCAGATGATATCAGAATCTACTTCCATGGAGAAGTATGTATGTATGTATGTATGTATGTATTTATGAGACAGAGTCTTGCTCTTGTTGCCCAGGCTGGAGTGCAATGGTGTGATCTTGGCTCACCGCAACCTCCGCCTCCCGGGTTCAAGTGACTCTCCTGCCTCAGCCTCCCGAGTAGCTGGGATTACAGGCATGCACCACCACGCCCAGCTAATTTTGTATTTTTAGTTAAGCCAGGATTTCTCCATGTTGGTCAGGCTGGTCTTGAACTCCCGACCTAAGGTGATCCATCTGCCTCGGCCTCCCAAAGTGCTGGGATTACAGGCATGAGCCACCACGCCTGGCTGAGAAGTTTATAATTAACTGAGATAGCACATGTACAATACCACATTAATAGATTCTAAAGGTTAGACTTTTCCTCTCTTCTTTTCTTCAAAGTCAACAATTTTTTTTTTATAATGAGGTACCCTAAACTCCATTTCACTCCCAGCTCTGTTAATGGCATGAAACTACTTCTGCCCTAAGAAATATCAGAACATATAAACTTATGGGCTTGGTATGCCTCATCTTACACAACTTTCATTCTTATAGACAACTTCAAGGCATCACACTCTTAACTAGGTAAAAATCTAACCCTTTAACTGAGAACATTCTGCTCTGGTTGAATTGGCTTATTATTTTTATTTAAAGACCGAAACCCAATTTGAAAAGTGATCCTTGTTTTTATGTATTATTAAAAAACACATTTTAAAACAAATATCCAGTCTGCAGTTTTACTGTGCCATTATTCCACTCCCAAAATACCATTTGAGCCTTGGAGACAGAGACCATCCCCTGGATTTCTGCCTCACTGACTAATGCAGCCCTGGAATTTCAAGAAGGATGGGTGAGTGTCAGGAAATAAATCTGGATAATAAATCTGGAGTTTTTAGCCAGTCATGATTGGACCTGGAGAGAGGGAGAGACATACTTCACTGGCAGTAGGAATGGAGTGGAGGGCTGCTCCCCAAACAACACAGAGACTATAACCCCTCCATCAGCAGAGCCTGCTGCCCAAGACTCAGACACTGGCCACAGATTGTTCTGTCTTATTCTCTGACAATTTCTGTTTAAAAGCAAGGGTGGGCAAAAGTGACCTGAGGGTCTCAACACCCTGAGAACATCATGACTTGGCTTCCTTGGCTTTGTTTCAGAATTTCTGATCTCTGCAGCCTGTCTCTGTGACCCAACACCTGCTCCACGTTGGGTCAGAATCCACCACACAAAGCATGCATTCTGCTCACTCTCCCAGGTGGCGGCTCTGAGGGACGGAGTGGAGCAGGTGGGGCTATGAAAGCAGGATCTTTTATGCCACCTGTATCCATGTGGCCAGGAGAGCATCTCTTTGACTCTGCTGGAAAATACCTGGCACAAGTGGCAGACAGCAGCCTCATGAAAATGTCCCTTTATGCTTGAATGTCTGCCCCATGTCCCAAGCTGCCCAAAGGCATCATGATTTGCATAGAGAATCATGTCAGAGAAGGAATCAAAAGTTGTTTCTCAAGCAATGTCAGTGTCTGACTGGCCATTAGGCTAAAAAAACCCAGATCTTTATTAAAATATTTTTATTCTCGGCCAGACGCAGTAGCTCACGCCTGTAATCCCAGCATTTTGGGAGGCCGAGGCAGGTGGATCGCCTGAGGTCAGGAATTTGAGACTAGCCTGGCCAACATGGTGAAACCTCGTCTCTACTAAAAATACAAAAAATCAGCTGGGCATGGTGGCGGGCACCTGTAATCCCAGCTACTCGGGAGCCTGAGGCAGGAGAATCACTTGAATCCAGGAGATGGAGGTTGCAGTGAGCCGAGATCATGCCATTGCACACCAGCGTGGGCAACAAGAGCGAAACTCCGCCTCAAAAAATATATATATTTTTATCCTCACCAAAACACCCGTACCTGGTTAAAATGTGAATTGGTACTATAAGTCATAAGAAAGCAGGCCGCCCTCCCACTCCCATTTCCACTTCCTTGAGGGCAATCACCTTCAATGCTTTTAGTCATTTCTTCTGATATTTCTTCCATTATTCCTAAACAATAGTCTTACACAACTAATATTCTTTTTTTTTTCTTTTTTTGAGATGGGGTCTCACTTTGTTACCTAGGCTGAAGTGCAGTGGCAGATCTTGGCTCACTGCAACCTCTACCTCCCATGCTCAAGCGATCCTCCCACCCAGAGCCTCCCAAGTAGCTGGGACCACAGGCACATGCCACCATGCCTGGCTAATTTTTCATATTTTTGGTAAAGATGGGGTTTCACCATGTTGCCCAGGCTGGTCTCAATTTCCTGGGCTCAAGCAATCCACCCACCTTGACCTCCCAAAGTTGCTGGGATTACAGGTGTGAGCCACTGCACCTGGCCTACTTTATTCTTTTTAATTTTATGCATTATCTCTGCTATGGTTTGAGTGTTTTTGTCCCCTCTAAAGTTCATGTTGAAACTTAATCATCAATGCTACAGCATTAGAAGGTGTGGCTCAGGTGTGGCTCACGAGGGCAGAGCCTTCATGAAGGGGTTAAGTGCCCTTAGAAAAGGGCTTGACGGAGGTAGTTTGCCCCTTTTTGCCCTTCGGCCTTCCACCATGAGATGACATAGCATTCATCCCCTTTGGAGGATGCAGCAACAAGGTGCTCTCTTGGAAACAGAAAGACTGGCCCTCACCAAGTGGTGCATTGATCTTAGACTTCTCAGCTTCTAGGGCTGTAAGAAATGAATTCCTATTGTTTATAAATTACTCGGTCTGTGGTATTTTGTTATAGCAGCACAAACTTTAAATGGACTAAGACAATCTCTTAAGTTCTCTGTATGGAATGTAAACTTTAAGCTCTCAAATCTGCCCCCACATAAATCCATCCCTTACCCCCACAAAATGACATTACACATCGACATGACAAAAATTGTGGTCTTCACTACATTCTAACTTTGCTCACTGCCATGCCACATAGTATATTACAATAAATATCTTGAACTTTTTATTTTTCCTGGAGTTAATAACTGCTTTACTTTGATATCCTTAGTTTTTTAAGGACTCCAACTTCTTAAGAGAACCATACATTCTTCTCAGTAATGGTCAAATGCATCAGATAACTCATCAGTTGCTGTTATTTTTTTCTCCTTTAGAGATAACCCTCCCGGAACATTTTGTCATCCTCCTCTAATCTAAACTGGATGTTTTCTGGGCTTGATGCATAGTGGTCCTGGGACATTCCCTCACCATCCTCTTGGAAATTTCTCATTCTATGCCACCGTTTTGATAGAATACCATTCCAATAGTTTTCTAAGAATGAATGCATGGAAAGTTAAAATTTTTAGATCTGGCATTTCCAAAAGTATCCACATTCTACCTTTATACTCAATTGACATTTTGTCTGGAGATGGAATTTTAAGTGGAAACCTTTTTTTTTCTTCAGAACTCTGAAGATACTGCTTCGTGGCATTTGAAGGCAATTCTGGCATCCAGTGTTGCTGTTTGAGAGGCATAATGCCACACGGACTCCCTGATCCATCATCTGTGAACTATTATGTGTGTGGGGTTGTGTGTGTGTTTTCCTTTCAAACTTTTAGAATCTTCTTTTCATTCTGATATTCTAGAATTTCATGATGACCTGACTTGGTGTGGGTCTTTGTTCACTGTCCGTCAGACCGTTGGTAGATATTTTCATTACTGGCAATGCATGTCTTTCAGTTTTGAGGAATGTTTGTGTTTTGAGAATTCTCTCTCTACTGTTTTCCTCAATGTTCTCTTCATGGAACTCCCATGAACTGGACATGAGCCCTATTAGACTGACCTACATTTCTTTTCACACTTTTTCTACCTCAGTCTTTTTATTCTCTCTGGGAGATTTCTTTGACTTTATTTTCCAACTAGTATATTGAATTTATTATTTTGGCTATCATTAACTTCAAAAAACCCTTTTTCAGTTTCTCAAAATTGTTTTGAATTGTCTTCTCTTCTTGCTTAATAGACATAACATCTTATCTCTGAGGTGAGAGAAACTTCTTTGAAGTTCTGTTTCCTGCAGTCTTCTGTTTCTACTTGGTTCCTTGTTCGGTTCTTTATGTCTGTTCCATAACAGAGGATTCCCTTGGACATCTGATGATCCTTTACTGATTTTTCCTGTATGTAAGTGAGGAAATACAAAGTTCCAGGTGCACAGATGGGACCTGTCAATGTGTCAGACCTCATGGTAGAGGGATTGAAATTAAAACATCAACATCAATATCTGCAGATCTTCTCCCTTGAGATAATCAGTTTCCATAAAAAGGCATCTTCCTAGTTGCTGCTTTGGTGGTGTGGGGTGGAGGGTGGGTACAGCAACGAAGTCTGTCTACCAGCATTTAGTACACTGAGTGAGGGAAGACCATCGCAGGGTGGGAAGGTAAGTTGGTTATTTTCCACATGCTGACTTTCACTCGGCCCCTCTCCCTTTTGAGTACAACGCTTTGCCCTGCCTGCAGCTGTACCTCATGTCTAGGACGTGACAGCTGGTCAGCTTTGGCCTCTCCACGGAGGAGCTTTCAGTCTCCTTGGGTGTACAGGAGGAGAGGGGTCTGGGGCATGGACTACAGCGGGGAACCGGGGCCTCACTGCTCCTTATCAGATCTTTCATCTTCCAGTTTTCAGCTTCACTTCGCAACCCAGGCTCTGGAAGTATGTCATCTTCCAATTGCTTCATCATTGCCTACTCTCCTAACCACAGGCATAGCGCGTCAGAAGACTGAAACCCAACTCAGCCAACCATCTATTCACATGCCATCATCCACGAGTTTGTTGACATCTCTCATTTGCTGTTGTCTCTCCTCATTCTTTCTGTCCTCATAGGTTTATAAGTTTTCATTTTCTTTCTTTAAAAACTCATTTTAAGGACACCATTATTTTTAAAAAAAGCAATAGAAAATAACAAGTATGGGCAAAGACGTGGAGAAATTGGAACCGTCGCACACTGCTGGTGGAAATGTAAAATGGCAGAGTTCTTCAAAAAATTAAAGTTCCATTATCATATGATCCAGCAATTCCACTTCTGAGCATATACTTAAAATAATTGAAAGCAGGGACTTGAAAAGAAATTTGTACACCCAGGTTGGGTGTCGTGGCTCACACCTGTAATCCAGCACTTTGGGAGGCTGAGGCAGGTGGATCACCTGAGGTCAGGGGTTCGAGACCAGCCTGGCCAACATGGTGAAACCCCGTCTCTACTAAAAATTCAAAAATTAGCCGGGGGTGGTGGCGCATGCCTGTAATCCCAGCTACTTGGGAGGCAGAGGCAGGAGAATTGTTTGAATCCAGGAGACAGAGATTGCAATGAGCCGAGATTGCGCCATTGCACTCTAGCCTGGGTAACAGAGTGAGATTCCACCTCAAAAAAAAAAAAAGAAAGGAAAAAAAACAAAAGAAAAAAGGAATTTGTACACCCACATTCATGACAGCATTATTCACAACATCCAGATAGTGGAAGCAACCCAAATGTGCATCAACAGATAAATGGACAAGCAAAATATGATATATGTGTACAATGGGATATTATTCAGCCTTAAAAAGGAAGGTTCTGTGGTTTGGCATTACATAGGGAAAAATTTAAAAAGGAAGGAAATGCTGACATATGCTACACTGGTGAACCTTGAAGACATTATGCTAAGTAAAGTAAGACGGTCACAAATACATTATAATTCCACTTATGTGAGGTACCTAGAGTAGTAAAATTCATAGAGACAGAAAGTAGAATGGTGGTTGCCAGGGGCTAGAGGGAAAGGAAGTAAGAAGTTATTGTTTAATGGGTGGGAACTTTCAGTTTTACAAGGTGAAAAGGTTCCAGAGATAAATGGTGGTGATGGTTGTGCAACAATGTGAATGTACTTAGTGCCGCTGAACTGTCCACTTAAAAATGGTTAAAGTGGTAAATTTCATTTCATGTGTATTTACCACAATAAAAAAGTCAATGAGCCAATATATAAAAATCTATTTCAGAACTCTCTGTTCTGTTTCAATTAGCTATATGTTTATCCCTTTGCCAAATGTTACACTGCCTTATAATAAATAAATCAGACCAAAGCCACTCTCTGTTTTGAAAATTTCCAATGAGTTCTCATTGTGCTATGAATAAGACCTGGCCTGCCTATTTCTCTCCACCCTCATTCCCCCTTCTCTGCCTCGTGACCACACAGGCTCCAGGCCGCCCAGAAGTGGCTCGCAGCCTCGAGGCCCACAGCACATGCAGTCAGGGCTGTGTAAGAGGTGTGTGCTGAGGACCATGGGAGCACGGAGGAGGGTGAGGGCTCCACAGAGGTGTTGCTGTGAGTTGAGCAAGAAGGGAGGACCACCTCTTAATATAGCATCTGCCCCAGGGGAGCAGCAGTAGGGGTGACTTACAGGGCTGGGGCTGGCGCCCAAGGGTTTGTAGGGAAAGGGTGAACCCAGTTTGCACTAGAAGCGAGATAGCTCCCAACAGCCCTGCCCGCCTTAGGAGGGGTCCTCGGAGACCCCAGGTTGTGAGCCGAGGCAGATTCCAGGTCGTGCCAGCACATAAACAGCTCTTGCTGAACCAGAGTAGCTCTCCTCAGCCACTTCCGCCTGATCTATTGGCTCTTGCCAACTTAGTTCCACAGGGCACAGCCCTCTCACAAGCTATTGCTCAGGAATTTTAGGGCAATGGCCCAGGGGTTGCAGAAAAGAAAAGAAACACATACCAACAACCCTCCAATCAGGACCCATTGTGAGCAAACCTTGCCTGCGGTTGTTCTCTGGGTATTTGTTGGTGGCCTGTTTGGGGGCTGGGGAGCACCAAAGGGGTCAGAGTCCTGGTTCAAAACACACATTTAAAGCAGAATTAGACTTCCCAGTCCATGCCACTGAAATCTCTTTTCTAAAGAAGCATCTGGAAAAATGGAGGGAAAAGCTGCCCAGTTACGTAGTAAAAAACAAAACTCAAACTTTCCTTTCCTCCTCCCGCCAGTGTCCCTTTCAAGTCTGTGATCCTCGGGGAGGAAGAATTGGCGGGGGCTGGGGCCCAGCTGAGCCACTGTTAGACAAAAGCAGTGGGTTGAGAAGCCTGCAGGTAGGGCTTGGTCTCAGTACAGACAACTGCTCAGACCACCCAGCTCAGAGAATTTCAGGCGCAGCGCAACTCATTCTTCGTCTGTTAAAAACAAATGCATGAGGCTGGGTGTGGTGGCTCATGCCTGTAATTCCAGCACTTTGGGAGGCCGAGGTTGGCAGATCACCTGAGATCAGGAGTTCGAGACCAGCCTGTCCAAAATGAAGAAACCCCGCCTGTACTAAAAATTCAAAAATTAGCCAAGCATGGTGGCTTGCACCTGTAATCCCAGATACTCAGGTGGCTGAGGCACGAGAATCACTTGAACCTGGGAGGTGGAGGTTGCAGTGAGCCAAGATTGCGCCACTGCACTCCAGCCTGGGTGACAGGGTGAGACTCTGTCTCAAAACAAAAACAAAAACAAAAACAAATGCATGGCTGGTGCCAGAGCTGCCCTAAGGCCTTTGCTGCACTAAGCACGTTAGCCATAGTGACCTCCAGGTCTGAGGAGTGGGGAAGAAGTAAGGATGGGTGGGTGTCAGTCCCATGGGGGTGTCAGGAAGTGACAGGAAGTACTTGCTAAGGATGAATGATGCCTGTGGGTGTCTTCAGGGGAGTGGGCTGCTGAGAGAGGCCTGGTGGCCCTTGAGAAGATGACTTTATTTTGTGTTGTTAAAAGGGCCAGCTTCGGGTTAGGAATTGGAAGGGTCTGTAAACTTGTTACACTCTAGAGAGTCCTCTTCAGCCTAAGGGAGCCTGGACTCCTACCATCACCACTTGGCTTCTGAAGGAGCCCCTAGGCTCTGGGAATGCTGACCGAACTCCTGGCCTCTCAGCAGCAGCTTCTCACAGTGACCACTCGGCTGACACTGCTGTCCAGGAGGGCTGTTGCCCTAGAAGCTGAGGGGAACCAGGACAACCTGCAGCCCAAAAGAAGCAGGCATGCCTGGAGAGCCCTTTGCCCCCAGCTGCAGGACGCAAGCATGAGAGCAGTGCTTATTCCAAAGCCGTTTTCTGTCTTAAGAGCTTTACAACTGGGTCCAGGGTCAGGGTCCCCTTTCCAAGCTTGGTGTTTTTCCCTTCCTTTTGCTGGTCAGGGGGAAATGAAAAAAGCAATGTTTCCCTGGCCCTCAGCTGTTTCTTCTGCCCCTGGGAAGGACTGCCACCAAATGCAGGTGAGGACAGAGTCAGAATTCTCAGCACTGACTGCTCAGCTATGTCACCTGAAGGGAAGACCCATTCAGTAAGGACAGCCCTGACCTGAATGACCCACCCAGCCCCTCTCTAAGGCAAAGACCCCTAACACCATGCAGGGCTCAGGCCACTGCTGCTCCTGGCCCTTGGCCACAGTGGGCCTAGTTCTCTAAATACACCTAGAGATTAGGTACTGGGGACCCAGATCCACCTCTAAGTAGGTAGTATTTGTTTGTAAGGCTGAAAAATAATATTCTAAAGCCAGGGCTAAATGCTGATACAATCAATTTTCACTTACCTCCTTGTCGCAAAAGGGGATAATCATAGTTCTATTTCTATTTGTCTATGGGATGTGTCACACATCAGATTTTTCCTCCTAATTGTGTCCTTTCGAAACATCTTCACCATACACTGTCTGGTGAACAGGATAGGGGCCTTAGAAATATGCACTGCTGGCAGAGCCAAGCGAGGAGCAATTCCAAAAGGCCACGCAAGTGCACTCTCCCCCTCTCTGCCTGCTTCTCCAGGACCACTTGCTCTGCCTCTAGAGAGCCTCCCGTTACTCTGGCTGCCTCTGATCTTGCCCTGCTTCCTCCTTGCAGCATCTACACTATTATCTACAGTGGTCACATTTTAAAAACGAGTGCATGTTGATCTGATCACAGTTCAGACTACTTAAAATCAGGCCTGTCCCAGACAATCTGAGACAACTAATCACCATGACATCACCTTCCACATTTCTCTCTGCCCTACACGAAGCACAGGACCATATTTTCCATTAAAAAAATCAGGATACATTATCTGATGAGAGATTTACGAGCAGCCTCCAGGTGCAAGAAGGAGTTGGTGCTATAAAAGTTTCAACATCAAAATACTGGAACTCCAAGCATATTTGGATAACTTTACTGGAAAAATGAGAATATTTTAAACCAGAATGGCTCATGACAATCTGAGGTGACAGCCCTTATGCCAGTAACACGGGTTATGTTTCTATTCATTCCAGGTATATTTGGCACAACTTACTGCAAGACTGTGACTTACTCATGAGAGGGAAACAGGCATTACACCTATTCTGAACTTGTCTCCACACTCAGCATGGCCACTTCCTTTTGGCAGCACTGAGTAGCTAGCTGACTGATGTCTCTCCTCTCCAATCTTTATATCCCAGCCTGGGTGTCACTTCAGAGACACCTTTGTTGATTTCCCAAACTAAGTCATGCTGTTATGCTCTCACTGCACCCTGGGTTTTCCTTCAGTGGGCCTCATCACGGCTTATAATTCATCTGTGTGCACAGTCACTCCTGCCTGTCTAATCGCACTAGACTGTAACTGTCTGTGGAAAGAGCTACAAAGCTTTGGCTCACTGGTGAATTACCAATTCCCAGCACAATGACTGGCACATAGTAGGTGATCAATAAGTATTTTTAAATTAATGTCATGGTCTCTCTGGTAGGTCCCAGGACTTCCTCTTTTGTTTTTGTTGAACATTTTTATTCCGTTGAATTTATTATTATTTATTATGAATTTATTACTTGAATGGACTGCAAGGCTGCTCACGAGTACTAAAGCTGGCATTAATCCTGGGAGTATACATATTGGCTGATAGAATCAATGTTCTAAAAGAACAAAGTCAGGCCGGGTGCAGTGGCTCATGCCTGTAATCCCAGCACTTTTGGAGGCCGAAGCAGGTGGATCACCTGAGGTCAGGAGTTCGAGACGAGGCTGACCAACATGGTGAAACCCTGTCTCTACTAAAAATACAAAAAAAAAAAAAAAAAATTAGCTGGGCGTGGTGGCGGGCACCTGTAATCCCAGATACTTGGGAGGCTGATGCAGGAGAATCACTTGAACCTCAGAGGCAGAGGTTGCAGTGAGCTGAGATCATGCCATTATATTCCAGCCTGGGCAATAAGAGCAAAATGCTTTCTCAAAATAAAATAAAACAAAGGTCCGAATCAAGATATATTAGGAGAGAATAAGTCTTGTGAAGGTTCTAAATCATCAACTAGACAAAATTAGTGTGGAAGGGCAGCTAACATTGAAAGGAGCCGAGCATGAGTCTTTTAAACATTATTTAACCTTAAGCCATATTAACAGAGCATGGTGTCCACACAGGGAGTGGGCAGTCCCATTCCACATGGGCATCACTGACAGACTGCGTCCAGGTACAAGTGCCACGTGTTAATAGGATATTGAGGAAGCGGCTCAAGGTGTGTGAGGGGGTGATGCCCAGTGCCCGGCTGGCACCTGGTAGGTGCTCAACAGATGTTTATTGAAGGAACATAAAGTATAGTTGATGGAAGTTGGTCTATTTAGCCTGGAGTAAAACACACCAAAAGGAGGGCATATCTGTCTTCAAATGTATGATGAGCTCTTGTATAAAAGTCTACATGCTATGTAGTGCCAGAGGACAGACCAAGGATAAATCGGTCCATAATTCTCCAGAGGCAGATTTAGGTTCATATAAGTAAGACCAGCAATGCCTCAACAACCAAATGGACCAACTGTGACACGGTAGATCCCCGTCCCCAGAATGTTCATAAGAAGACTGGAGAACCATCTGGCTGGGATGTTGTCAAAAGAAGCCTTCCTACCCTCTAAGATGCCTTACAACCCCAATCCTAGTTTTCCAAGAATTTCACAGAACTGAATGTATAAAGGTGAGAGAGACTATGAAAGAAATATTCCATTTCATACTGTAAATAACCTTTGTGCTACAAATACAGAGCTTGGAATGATCTACTCCTTGAAGGTTTTAATGAACTCATCTATAAAACTATGTGGATCCAGAACTTTCTCAGGATATATTTCTTCAACTGTTTCAGTTTCTTCCACTGAACTTTTCAGGTTTTCAACTTTTTTTAAGTTAATTTTCTTAGAAAAGCATCTACTTCTTTCAAGATCTTCAAATCGGAGTTTACCCTGAAAATCTCATTTTTATCAACTACAGATCAGTGGTTAGAGTCCCATTTCCAAATGTTAGGTATATTTTCTGTCCTTCTTTGAATGGCCTAGTAGGGTTTGCCTATGTCTTATTTCTAAGACCAGTCCTTAAGTTTATTCCTAAATATTGTTTTTCTCTTTGTAATACAATCATTTCTCCTTTTATATAAATGTTTTGCTTCTGCTTTCCTTCGGCTTGTTCTAGTCTTTGATTTTGCGAGTTGAATGATTGGCTCACTAATTTTTAGTAATTTTTGTTCAATGATAAAAGCATTAAAGGCTATGCATATACAGATGCTCCTTAATTTATGATGGGTTACATCCCAATAAGCTCATCCTAAGTTGAAAATTTTCTAAATTGAAAATGCATTTAACATAGTGACTCCATCAAACATCATAGCTTAGCCTAGCCTCCCTTAAACATGCTCAGAACACTTACATTAGCTTACAGTTGGCAAATTCATCTAACACAAGGCCTATTATATAATACAACATTGAATATCTCATGTAATTTATTGAGCACTGAAAGTGAAAAACAATAGTTGTGGGGGTACTTGAAGTGTGGTTTCTAATGAGTGGGTATCATTTTTGCATAAAGTTGAAAATGTAAAGCTGAACTATCATAATTTGGGAACCGTCTACACCTCTGATATTGGCTTTAGCCAGTTATAACCTACTCAAAAGTTAAAACTGTTTCCATATCTAGTAGCTATTACGATTAGGAAAGGTATGCACATGCACTTCACCTAGGAACAAATTTAAGAAATGTGAAGATCCTATATAATTAAAGTTTCAAAACTTTCTAAACAACATACGAGAAGTCTTGGATATATAAAGAGAAATACTTTGTCCTTGTATTAAAAGTAACCAGTAGGATTATATGATTAGATATGGAATGTTAAAAAGCAACAATTATTAAAACCATTTTGGTTCACATATTGACTAATGAAATAGTCCAGAAAAATGCTAAAACAAACTCTATACATAAGACTTTAGTATACAGTAAAGGTGGCCTCAAACTAATGGGAAAAGAATAGATTATTCAGTAAGTGTGGATAACTTGAAAAAAATCCTATTCAAGATCCCTTCCTCACATTACACACAGAAACATCCATTTTGATTAAAATGTTAAAAGTAAAAAAAGGTAGAAGAAATGTGGATATAATCTTAGAGATTCCAGGCATGACACTAATAGTGGAAAGCATAAAGATATGTGAACACTAAAATTTAAAATTTCTGTACAAAAGTAAACTTAGGATAAAAATTAAAAGGTAAACAAATTAAAAATATTTCAAATATATGTGTAAAAAAGGTGAACTTTTTAAGATATAAAAAGTTTGCATGACTAAATAAAAAGAACACAGAAGGAAAAAAGTAAAGGACATGAACAAGAAGTTTCTGAAGTAGCCAAACATATAAAAATGTTTAAAATTAATCAAACAAACGTAAAATAAAATGTGATATGTTTCATTTAAAAAACGTGTTAATAGGTAAAGTGATAACTAGTGCTTATGAGTGTGAGAAAATTAAATTCTTAAACATTGCTGAAGGAAGGGTAGTAATTTAAACTTCATTTTTCTTTCCTATAAAATTGGCATAGTAATGTTGACCTTATAAGGCTATTTTTAACAATTTGGAAATAGCTATCCAAAGACTTAAAAAGATTCAATAATTCTATTTCTAATATCTCTTAGGAATTATCAAAGATGTCCATGAAGATGTTTATGTTTATTTAAAAGATTAAATATTAGAAATCAACATATCAAAAACATAGTCTATTTGAAATAATAAGACCAAAATACTATACAACTATTAAGATTTATCTTGAAGAATTTTAAAGAATATGAGAAAGCATTAACTAAAAAGGCAGCATATAAAACCAGTTACTTAATATCCATAATGTAACTTTTAACGATTTACTTTCTCCTTGTTACAATAGAAAAAAAAGAAATAAAAAGGAAATCTACTAATGTGTAAATAGCTGTCATCACTGGATGGTGGGATTGTTTTCTATACTTTCTGTATGTCAAAACTTTTAAAGTAAGGAACACGTTTTACTTTCATGAACAGTAAAAAAATTTAAAAATTTTACTTACTGAAATTCAAATTATGCAAATTTAGTAGGAGCACATTTTTAGAAAGTAAATAAAACAAGAGACTGGCAGTGACTAAATGTCCCTTTGAAATGAAAGAATAAGGGAGTGGCATGCCATATTTGTCTTCAAGAAAATTCAGCTGAAATCGACATGGTTGGTGAGTAGTTGGGATAAAACCAAATGGGCTTCAGCTGTAGCAAAGCTAGCAGCCTTCCGATAGAAAAGCCTCTGTAGCAGAGGAGGGTGAGGCTTCTGAATGGACATATGGGAGGGCTGTGCTTTGAACAGTATCCTCATTCTCTAGCTGGTGCCCAGCAGGACAGCTGGGAGGACTTCAAAGGACAACACAGCCCATCCATCACACATCCAGTAGGCAGCCCACACCCCTGCCACGAAAACGTTGCACTGGTTAACTCATCCTGCAAGAACTCAAGTCAGTGGCTAATTTCAAGACCTGGAAGAAATACTGACTGGTGGCCTGGCAAACTCCTGGCTTAACTGGTTTTGATCTTTGAGATGGAGCCCCAAGCTGGGCAGAGCCACTGCCTGTCTCCAGCTGAGGCTGCCAGAGCCCTTGGCAGGGTCCTGGGGCTGAGCTCAGTCCACTGAGTGAGACAGCTCTGGGGCATGGAAAAGCAAGGAGAGGCTGGGCGCCAACCTTCTCCCCAGCTGTTTTCAATAAGGCTCCACTTCTGAGGTTGCTGGCAGACCTCTGGAAAGATCTGAACCAACCTCACATAATGTTTTCCATCAAACCCACAATTAAGTAATATTCTCTTAACTCATAAACTGCATACAAAACCTTTTTCCTGTCACTTCTCAGCTCTCCTCCTAAGCAACCTACAAGCAGGTCAGGCAGAGGTTACAATACTTTTGCAGGGTCAGTGGAGACTGCATCACAGTCCTCCGGAGGCAGTTACTCCTCCCCCTGCTGTACAAGCATGGACGGGGTTGGGCGTTCATTCTCGGGAAGTACAGGCTACATTATGCAAATCATTTCAGTTAATCCTCCCAATACCGCTGTAAGGTCAGTGTTACCATACTAATTTTATAGGTAAGAAAAAAAAATCTCAAAGAAGATAAGTAATTTACACAAGGTCCCCAGATTCAGGCTTGTTCCTCCATAGCTCACTACTTTTCAGGGGAGTCAAACAGAATCACGGGCAAGAAAGTTCCAAGTATCAAAAAGTTATGGCAAGGCTTCCTAGTCTTTTGGCAAGATATTTCACCAGTGTCCCCTTAGGAGTATTCTTCAAGAGCACTGTTAAACACCACACCCTTATTTTGTAATTGAATAAATTAATGACTCCTAGAAAGGCCTAGAATGAAACCGGCCTTCTTCATGAGGTCTTCTGAATGCTTCTTTCCTATATTTTTTGTTGCACATTTTATTGTATTAATATACCGACCATAGAGCATAGGGTCTTGTTCACTACTAGTGTTTGTTTATGCGCTGGATAAAGGCTCGTTGAGCACCCTTCACCGTTACTGTGCTAGACACTGGGGATGCAAAGAAGGTTAAGGATCTAGTCTCCTCCCACAATGAGTGCCTACTCTAATAGGGAAGATGGAAAAGACAGATTCAACATGGTAAATTTTTTTTTTTTTAATTTTAGAGATGGGGTTTTGCTCTGTCACCCAGGTTGGAGTGTAATCATAGCTCACTGCAGCCTTGAACTCCCGGGCTCAAGTGATCCTCCCACCTTAGCCTCTCAGTAGCTGGGACTACAGTTGCATACCACCATGCCCAGCTAATTTTTTTTATTTCTATTTTTTGTAGAGACTGGGTCTTGCTTTGCTGCCCAGGCTGGTGGTCTCGAACTGCTGGCTTCAAGCAATCCTCCCCCAACAGCCTCCTGAAGTGCTGGGATTATAGGCATGGGGTACCTCACCTGGCTCTCAGCATCGGCAGATCTCACAAAACAAATGTAAGTTCAGGAAAGTGTGTGCATGCACATACATTTTAGTACTTCAATCAGGCTGCATTAATGCTTAGTGAGCAAGAACTGAGTCTTAGCATTTCATGCCTCTTAGAACCCAGCTCTGTATTTGTTGTGCACCTATTTTAGAGTCAGTACAGTAGATGTGGCACCTGCCTTAGGATGCTCACTCTCTATTAGGGGAGACAGTATCCAACCCAAAGGCTCCTAGTCTGGAGCCCAGTGAAGACAAATTGACAAATATACTCTAAATAAGAATATGAGTTCAATGGAATGATTAAAATTAATGACTATGTGGGCCAGGACCATGATATGCAGAGAAGAAAAGAGAAAAAGGGGAATGACAAGTACCAAGTAGTTCAACATTCGACCCTGTGTGGCTGGAAGAGTCTCTTAGCTTGAAATTTAATGAGGTCCTCTATCAGTGAAAGTCAGTGAACCTCTGGGAAGAAGATGGTTCTCCTTAAACTCACGGCTCTCTCACTGCCCAGCCTTTGGTTTTCACTTCTTAATCACCTACTGTGTGTCAGGCATCATGGTAGGCACTGAGGTCTCCTGAGCCCTAGGCTGTCTTGATCTTTCTGACGACTAGGATGAACAGGCCTGATCTCTGAGTCTGCTTGCTGTTCTCGCTCCCTCTGCCACCCCAGCAGACGCCATTACCGGTCTCAGCTCTCACTGGACTCTCTGGCTTCCTGCCTCCCACCCTCCTGACCGCTTGGTACCTGCAGGCCCTGCTGGTCCCCGTGTGGCAGCAGGACAAGAGGCCAAGCTGCAGGGCAGATACAGACTGAGGTCTACTGAAGGATTCTTGGTTTGGAGGGAACCAAGCTACGAGCTGGGGCAGGAAGGAGTTGGTGGAGGGAGGTGCCCCAGATGTGACAAGGCAAGTTTGAATCTCACAGATCAGGGAGCAGGTGGGCCATGAAAACTGGTGCTATGTCTTCTTCCTTACTGATAACAGTGCAAGCTGAAGAAGACAAGCCTCTTGGAAAGTACTTGTGCTTAAAGATGCCCGAATCCTTGTCCCATTCACCTCTCTTCTGCCAACTAATCAATCCCAAGGAAATAATATTAAATATGGAATTAAAAACTTCATGTATAAAGATGTTGATGAAAATTTAATTTATAAAAGGAAACGTTGGAAACCATCAAGATAACTGCCAACAGAGGAATGATTCAGTAAATGGTAGCATATCAGATTTAATGGAATATTCACCATTAAAATTATGGTGACAGAGTGATTTGAAAAATGCTATGTTGGCTGAAAAAAGCAGGATACAAAACACTATGAATAATTTTAGTTATGACTAAAAGTTACTGAGCACTTATATTACATATGCAGCAAAGATATTTCACTTAAGTAATGCCATATTATAGGTAGTATTATCCCCATTTTATAGATAGGAGCATGACCTGGAGAGTTGGCAAATTACTCATGATCACAGTTGGTAAAGGATGGGATTGAATTAAAAATCAAGTCTGACCCATGGCCTGTGATGCTTCCACAAGCCACTATGCCCCTGTAGATCCTGTAGTTATCCCTATGCTGAAAACAAAAGAAACCCCCAGCTTAGAAAATAACTATAGGACAGAACGATTAAACAAAACAATAATAAAGACCGAGAGCAAAGCAGAACCATAGGTAATTTTAGCCTTCTTTCTACCTTTGCTTATCTGCTTTCTTAAGTAGAATATTGCATTTTTACTTTAAAACATTCTCAAAGTAAGCCATTTAGAGTGGTGCTGTGGACAGATCAGTGATCCTGACTGTATTACTATAGTACTATGATGCCCATTGTTTTATTAGGCAACTGCTATGTGCTTGCGCACATCTGCCATTGCATCAACCCTCCAACTATGCTGGGAAGTAGGAATTATTATTCCCATCTCAGCTATGGGGCCTAGAGAATGTAAGCAGAACAAATTCAAACTCAGATATCCTGGCTACGAAATCTGTGCTTTCTATTCTTTCCATGGCCCCACAACACAGAGTTTCTTGATTTCCTGTCCTGATGTTTTTTGATCATTTGAGCTCTGGCAAGCCCATGTTTATAAGCACGGGGCTGGCCACTGCTCCCTGAAGAAGAGGTCAAGGTGAACTGGTCCACCCTGAGGTATATACCCACACTCTGCCACAGCTCGAGTCTTGCGCTCACCCTCTCTTCCCCTGTGAAACTTTGGGGAGGTTCAGGAAGCATGACCAAGTGTAGAACAGAGACCTGAGGGCCACAAGGCAGATGAGGCGAAGAGCAGTGAGAAGGGGCCTGAGCCAGCTTGGGAACTGGGCTGAGGGTGTGGAGCAGACGATAGTGGTGATCTGAGTTCAGGGTAGGAGGGGAGATAGAACACAGAACAATGACAGAGCCAGGGGTCTCCAGTCTACTGCCCAAAAAGCATCTCCTGCCACCTCTAGCATCCAGACAGCTCCTTGTTTATGCACAGGGACATGTGTATATACCCACACGTGATCTCCAGAGTTCCCACTAGTTAGGCCTTTGACTGCATCTCCTGAGCAAATGGGCTTATTTTTTACAGACAAAATGATTTCCAGAAAGCTAATAGTCATATTTGCAGCCCATCTCTAACAACTATAATACAAGACTGTACAGTGCTTATTTCTGTATGCTATTCTTACCCCAGGTTTATTATTTCCTACCCATATTTTCCCTTCTCTATTCTGACTCCACACCTCTACTCCAGAAGAAGATTCTAAGCATTATAAAATTTAATCTATATGATGATGCATTCTCAAGGGGGTAATATCATCCCTAAGGGGGGGCGATAATTGGTTCTCAGGAGTAAGGGGCAAAAAGTCTTACTCTTTTTACATATACACACAGATATACTCCAGTACACATATATGGTATAGAGTATAACTGTGGTATTAAATTTGCACTAGGGGATTCCTCGGGAGGGTGATAATGGGGAGATAATGGTGATAATAAGAATCATCAATCCCCATCTCTACTAAACAAAATACAAAAAATTAGCCGAGCGTGGTGGCAGGCGCCTGTAGTCCCAGCTACTCAGGAGGCTGAGGCAGGAGAATGGCGTGAACCCGGGAGGTGGAGCTTGCAGTGAGCCAAGATTGCGCCACTGTACCCCAGCCTGGGCAACAGAGTGAGACTCTGCCTCAAAAAAAAAAAAAAAAAAAAATCACCAATCTATAAGTCAGCAATATGCTCGAGCAGCCCATCAACAGACAGCCCCTTCCCAGGGCCTGAGATTGTCAGACCCGCCACCCTCAGAAGTAAAATCAGGCAAGACGCAGAAGCCCAGTCACCCCTTCCTCCACTGCCCAGCCACTTCCCATGTGCTCGCCCAGGGGCGGCTGAAACCTGCAGGTGTGACCTTTGTTTCCATCTCTGGAGACTAACAGCTGCCCCTTGAGTGGCTCATAGAAGAACCTGTTTAGGGACAGTGTGTTCAAGGGCAGATTCCTTGGTCTCACCTCAGTGGGTCTGGGTAGGACCCTGCAGGCACCCAGTGGCTTCTGCAGGATCCCACCTTGAGAAACCACTCTCGACAAAGTGCCTCCACGAATGATTCCAGCACTAAGGTGTCCAGAATTTCACTTCAAACCCCAAATAGCTATGTCCTGGCAGCTAAAAATGAAGAGTGGGGGTGGGGTTGGGTATGACTTGAGTTTATGACAAAAGAGCTTTGTCTCAGATAATTCATTAATTCAGTACCAGTGTTCACTGTGCATGTGGGGGACTGACTGGCGCCAGTCTGCTCCAGAAACAGTCTTTCCCCACTCCTTTCGGGACTGAGCCACAGCAGCTCTCCTGTCCTCTAGCTCAACAGAGTATGGCATTTGATGGGGTTGTGCCTGCGCCTGAGCAGACTGGCTGGGGGATGGTGGCCTGGGAACCAGTCTCCCTGGGCCCAACGTCCCCTTGCACACGGATGAGGCAGGCCCAGCATGACAGGCTGTGGAAAGTATGTTCAGGTGCCTGGCTCCCCTCAGCCTAATGCCTTTTAAGTCAGGATCCAGATTTGATTTGATTTTCCTTGCCTTCCTGGCTCCAACTCTTCCAGGCTCATTTTTCACTCCCCTGTCAGGCTTCCCAGCATTTGGTGGCCGGGTTGAGCCAAGTTCTTCACACTCCACAGACAACCTCCCTCCCAGGCTTGGGACTCTGTGCTCACCATCTAAACTCCAGCTCTCAACAGGCTCTGCCTGCCCCCACCTCGTCCTGCCGTAATCCCTGCTGGAGTTTTCTGAGTGGCTGAGAGGGACCTGCAATTCTTAGAGGAGTTGCTCAGGGACTCAGCGTGCCACCACATGAGAGAAGAACAAGTGAGTCTATTGCTCATCCTCACCATCACTATCAGGACATAAGTCTCTTCTCACCATCACCATCTCCCACCCGCCTTTATTTCAGAGTTCTTCAGCAGAGGCAGGGGACAGGGATTAATTTGAAGGAGACATCAGGTCCAATGTGTGACATCAGAACACACTTCCTCATTCCCACACGACATGCCAGCACTCAAGGTTGATGTGCATGTAGAGGGTGTGGGAAGTGCAGATTTAGAGCCTCAGCAAGTTGAGGATGTCAAACCTTTGAATACAGGGACAGTGTCTTGGTTTTCTCTGTCATCTGTTTATTGCATGAGTACAAACATCCTGCATACCATTAGTGTTTACTGAACGAACCTGCAAACTAGTCACTTAAGTCAGCCTGTCACGTAGCAGTGGGGTCAACTGGTAAGCATGCTCATAAAACCACCAGGTCCCTACTCCAAAATCTTGTTTAAAATTTATTTTTATGGTTGGGCGCGGTGGCTCATGCCTGTAATCCCAGCACTTCGGGCGGCCTAGGTGGGTGGATCACCTGACGTCAGGAGTTTGAGACCAGCCTGACCAATGTGGTGAAACCCCATCTCTACTAAAAATACAAAAATTAGCCCGGCATGGTGGCACGTGCCTGTAATCCCAGCTACTTGGGAGGGTGAGACAGGAGAATTGCTTGAACCCAGGGGGCAGAGGTTGCAGTGAGCCGAGATTGCGCCACTGTCCTCCAGCCTGGGCAACAGAGCGAGATTCTGTCTCAAAAAATAAAATAAAATAGAAATAAATGTATTTTTATGAAACCATGTTATGTTGGAACAGGAAGGGGCATCACAGTCATCTGGTTCAACTCTCTCATTTTATAGGATGAGGAAACTACAGCCCAGAGGGCAGACTGAATTAAAGACAAAGACCCAAGCACATGATACCAGAACTGCCCTCCTTCCAGATCACACTGTTGGTCTTAAGAGAGGCAGCTCCTTAAGATAGCCGACAAGCTGCCCAGTAAACACGTTTGCAAATGACAGCACTTTGGCATCACGGGCTGACTGCAGTGCCCTAGAGTATTTAAATCCATCCCTGCTCAGCCATCACCTAACCAAGTCTGACTGAATATCTACCACGGGCCGGGCACTGTCCTAGGTGCTATAGAGAACACAAAGATGAATAAGAGATTGTCTAGAGGCTCACATTCTAGAGACAAGTACTTAAATAACCAGAACATAAAGCCAAAGATACACAGTACAGGAAAGCCCCAGGGTGATTCAGCAGGAAAGAGACCACAACTGGCAAGGAAAAGTGGGATGGGCTCCCTGGAAGAGGTGACATTTGGAAGAAGCAGGGTAGCACTATGACAGATTAGGGGTCCGGGCTCCAGTTAGAAAGGATGATGGAAGTCCAAGAGGCAAATCCCGGGACCTGCTCAGGGAATGTAGGGCCTGGCAACTGGGAAGAGTGCTGGTCTGGGGAACTAGCCCCACATCGTGGAGAAAGGCAAATGCCAGGCCAGGAGTCTGCAGTCAGAACAACTGGAGGCTTCTGGCCAGAGAGGAAGTGCTCCAAGCCAATTGTTGGGAAGACCCTCACAGTAGATGAAGCCTGGAAGGGACTGAGGGAGGAGCTCTGGGAGCACTGGGCCACCAAGTCTCCAGTAACTCTGCCCTCCAGTGGCTGGACAAATGGAATCCTGAGGGGGTCACTAGAGGCCTGGCCTCATCCTTCAGTCGAGCTCTCCTGGAGGGTGCTGTGCTCTTAGAGGCACTGGCCCTCCATGCACATACTTCCCTCCATTTCATTCTGCATATCTTTCCCCAAGTGCTGACAAATGGGAGAGGGGGTAACTAGCACTCTCTACCCTCTAACAAAACTAGAAGGGGTTCTGTAAAATGCCACACAAACCTATGGCATACTATTAAAAATCAGATGTGATCAGAACAAACCACAAAGAAAACTCCAACACCAACTCCAATACAAATAGGCACTGAATAAAATAATAAAATGTTGAAGATGGGAGCAACGGTCAAGATGATTTGGTCCAACTCTCAGCCTGATGTGTGTAGATCTCAACACCACAGTCCTCACAAATGATGGCCAGCCCTCCCCAAGCACCTCCTCAAACCACAAACAGCCTACACAGTAGCCAGCTCATGGTAAAGTGCTTCATAAACATTACTTGAATGAATCAAATCTAAACACTCAAAATCTTTCTTAAATAAAAACAGAACATTAAGGAGACAAGAGATTAATATTTAGAAAACTTACAGACTGAATAAATAATCTCTTTTTACTGGGCATCTACCAGGAGCTGGCACCGAGGTGTGTTTTATAAAAACTAGGCATGTAAAACAGAGAACACACACTACAACAGACACATCACAGAATTTCAGATGTTGAAGCGTCTTAGGGATCATCTGAATCGTGATTTTATAAGAAGGAATGTGAGACTCGGGAAGGTTTAGTGGTTTGTAGAAAGTTTAAGGCAACTATGTGGGAACTAGAACCCCAGTCCAGGGCTCTTTCCACAACACACTACGTTAATTATCTAATTAAAATCTAAATTGTAGAGTGCAGAATACAACCCTCTTGGAATATGGAAATGGAAAGAAATGCAATGAGGTAGAAGAGCTAGAAAAGGCTTCATAGAGGAAGGAAAGTTTAATTTTCTGTTTTGATATTGAGAATTCATTAGTTGCAAGATCACTGAAGACAGCAATCATGTTTTATTTTTCTTTGTATCTCCAGAGTCTGGAGCACAGAGGAGGCTCAACTCACATTGGTCATTATTTATGAAAGTAGTGTCTTACTTATTAACTTTACTTAGAGTTGGAAGGAAGATAGATATTAGAAGGAATCTGAACATCCTGGGCTCTCCAGAAATTGTATCTATGTGAACAAATGAACCAGACCTCAGTGCTATCGCTCATGCCTGTGTAGATCCCCTACACCACTTTGAGTATACAGTTAAGAGGAAGAAAACCCCAATCTGGTCTCTTTATCTCTCATCGGTCATTTTGCCACTCAGCTTTGTTTCCATTTCAAGGCAGACAGTCGAGATAATTGGAAACACGTTAAAACAATAGGAGCCTAAGGCCTTATTAGTAGAGAGACAGACATATCTAGACAGGGCCAGCCATCTAGTAAGTAAACCATCACTGAGAAATTTTAAAAACACAGACACTTAAAGAACTTACAACAAAAAATAATTCTATTCATACAGTTCCAAATCCTCTTCTAATTTTAGGTAGTGAACACATTGATGGATTTTCTATGGTTGTGATCAGAGTGTGCACAGTGTTTGTTCTACTTTTCTTCCTACTTTGTTATTCACACGCATTTTCATTTATGGATATAGCTACCACAATGACAAATAGGTGATTATGTAATATTTGCCACATTGATGTGTTTGTATAATAATCTATCTCCTTTTGAGTACAAACTAGTTCCTTTTTTGTTATTAAAAATAGTGCTTTGGACATCTTTGTAGCAACTACATTTTTTCTTCTCCTTTAAGAGTTAAGTTATAGTGTCAAAAGCAGAATTCTTGGCAAGGCACATCAACAGTTTTATTGCCCTTGTAACATTCTGCCAATCTAAGCCCCAAGGAGGCTGAACCAATAATCAGTACTTCCAACAAAGGAAAACCTCACCTGTTTCCTCACAGCCCCAGCAGTGGGCTCTTGGTATCTTATTTTGCTAGTTTTTTAGGTGCATAAATACTTTTAAGGTATTTTGATTTCCATTTGTTTAAATGCCAGCAGAGTTGTGTAATTTTTTAAATGCAGTGTTATATATTTTCCATGCCCGGACTTTGTCTACACTTCTTTCACTGTAAACTGTGTATTCATCTTTGACCATCTGTCAAATAGAATCTGGACATTGAACTCAGACAGCTGTACTGAGTCTTCTTGCAGGCATTTTTATTGTGCTTTTAAAAAATATACAGAAGTAATTCCTGTCTACTGTTTACAAAAAATTCAAGCAATAAGAATGTGTACAAAGTAAAAGGTGAAAGTTGAGGGTATAAAATGGCTAAAGGTTTCTTTCCTTCTTTATCTTTCCCCTCCGTGCAACAGTATTACTTCTCAGCTATAACCCTTGACATAATCTTTTTTTCTTTTAATTATTTTTATTTTGCTCTGTGTCTATTTCTTGATTTAAGAATTTAGACAGCACTTAGTGGAGTCCCACAGGAGTGATGAGAAATTTCTCTGGCTTACGGTGCCTCCCTCTTCCTGGCCTTGACTTGATTTTTAGATCTTTTATTGGACATTTATAGCATAATCACTAACTCCAATGCCTACAGAGGCTGGGCAGGAAACACATGTAGGGAATGTGGGCTGGGACAAGAAATGTCACGAGGCCCTTCCTGTCCATTTCCTGCTTTCCCATTATGAATATAGACTTGGCTAGGAGAAAAGCAAGGTCCTCACTGGCAACAGGCACTTGTCCTTAGTGTTGGGAGATGCCTTGGAATGGTGGGGACTATAACGACCTGGAAACTAATGTCAGACACAGTGACGGCACCCTCTGGGCCAGTGTGGCCATGTGGAAACATTGCCAGCTCTCATTTGTAAAGAAAAGCCACTTATACACGAATCATATATGTACATTTTCCATTTGCAAATCTTTGCTCAAACTTTTTGAGAACACCACTGGCCAAACACAAAAGGTCTGTGTGCCAAATACGGCTCATGGGTTGACTTTCTTTTTTTTTTTTTTTTTTTTTTTTTTTACCTCTGTCATTATGGTTTTAAGTCACATACTTAAACCTGTTATTTGATCCATCCATTTTAGGTGGAATCTCTTTACTTCCCACTGTGTAAGATGGGGACATTAGTGTCACTATATTTTTCTCTTCCTCTGTTTTTCTGTCTCTACCTTACCATTCACCATCCCTCTACTTTCGGCTTGCCAAAACTTACAGGATTTACTTTCTGTACTGTAACTATAATGAACACTTTTGACTTTTGTCTATGGATTGATTTTTAAAAACAACAATTTTCTTATAGCAATATTATATTGTATAAATGTTGTTTTCAGACATCTGGTGTCCATGAATTAACTGTTAACCATCAGTGGCTGAAGAACTAGTTTCCAAATGCAGGTGGCTTCTGTGGATTTTCTACCTCTTGGGAGTAGTCCTATCTCCCTGAATGAGGGGGCGGACTGCAAGCCCCACATGGGGAATGTCTATTAGCAGGCTTCACATAGAGGACTTGGTCATAGTCACAGGCTTGGTCATGGAGCAAGTGGGCAGATGATGGCACATCCAACACACTTCCATCCTGTTTCTTATAAACTAACATCTACAGCAGGAGCTTCAATTCTCTCCATATACATGTTTAGTAAATAGGCTTTCCTTTAATCACCCCGACTTCTGCCCTACATCCACTCCTAATCTCCAAATCCTTTAATCTCAAATATATGGCTGAAGCCTCACCCCTTAACTGTTCTGCAGGCAGAGCTAATATGTCCTTCAATGCAATGCCAAGAAAATCTCTCATCCACTAATGTCCCTCTCACGTTTTTAGCGCAGCTATGAATGCATTCTCTTTGGACTGCTTCATGTTTATTTCGATGTCATATTTGTCAGGAAGGGAAGTTAAGACATCTGTTCAGTCCACCATTTTGAACCCAAAGTGACCACCAGCTGTTGACTATGGTAAATTTTCAGTAATACTTGCCCTGCCACTTCTCATACTGCTGCTTTCCCTTTGAGTACTTTGGAAACTCTGTGACACCTGGGCTACCAGCCACGTGGAATAGACACCTGTGGAAAATTTGGGAGCACATTCAAGCTTGCTGGGATATCAAGGTTAGCATTCTACAATGAAGATGAAGGACAAAGATTCTCTCATCAACAGATCACATTTTTCTTTGAATGAATCTTGAGAATTCACTTAATTCTCAAGAATGTAATGCCTTCATTTTATTGTGAATGGGACAACTATTTCCAGTCTATCTTCTAGCTGTGGGTTAGTGATATACAGTATGGGAAGTTGAATTATGTGTGAGAAGGCTCTCAATCAGCCCTGTCCGAAAGGACATTCTATGATAATGGAAATGTTCAAGAATCTGTGCTGTCCAATATGGTAGCCATTAGCCCCATGTGACTATTCAGCACTTAAATAGTGCTGATGCGGCTGATGCGGCTGAGGAACTGAATTTTCAATTTTATTTAATTTAAATTCATGTTAATTTAAGTTTAAGTAGCCACATGTGACTAGTGGGTAGGTATCCTATTGGACAATGCAATTCTGTATCTTGAACAGCTCACTCTCATTGAAGAAGCAAAAGATAAACAATAATGGATCAAATTATAAATTGATTAAAAAACTGATAAAGAGTAGGCCGGGCACAGTGGCTCACGCCTGTAATCCCAGCACTTTGGGAGGCCGAGGTGGGCGGATCACCTGAGGTCAGGAGTTCGAGACCAGCCTAGCCAACATGGTGAAACCCTGTCTCTACTAAAAATACAAAAATTAGCCGGGTGTGGTGGCACGCGCCTGTAGTCCCAGCTACTCAGGAGGCTGAGGCAGGAGTGTCGCTCGAACCTGGGAGGCGGAGGTTGCAGTGAACCGCGATTGTGTCACTGCACTCCAGCTTGGGGCAACAGAGTAAGACTCCATCTCAAAAAAAAAAAATTGATAAAGAGTAAAAATGAGTCTCATATATATATAAAAGTATTATAGGCGTTCAGAGAAGGGAACAATTGAGGGTTAGAAAGTTCAGAATTAGAGCTGTGAAGTGGATCTGTGTGCTAGTGTGAAAACAAAAACACCGAAAGACATTCAGTAAAAAGAGCAAGTTGCAGATGGTTACCAGAGGCTGGGAAGGGTAGTGGGAGGGTGGGGGTGGGGGAGGAGGGGGGGATGGCTAATGGGTACAAAAAAAAAAGAAAAAATAAGACCTACTATTCGATAGCACAACAGGGTACCTATAGTCAATAATAATTGTATTTTTCAAAATAAAGAGTGTAATTGACTTGTTTGTAACTCAAAGGATAAATGCTTGAGGGGATGGATACCCCATTCTCTACAATGTGTTTATTTCACATTGCGTGCCTTATCAAAATATCTCATGTACCCCATAAATATATATTTCCTACTATGAACTCACAAAAAAATAGAAAGAGCAAATTGTAGGTTACTATGTATACATGGCCCATTTGTGTATATACAAGGATATTCAGATATATGCTAATATTTGTATAAATCATTTCTGAAAGGATACTCAACATTATTAATGGTGGCCACCTATATAGAGTAGAAGTGAGGGCTAAGGCAAATAACTTTTAACTTTGTCTGAATTTTTGTTTTAAAAATAGTTTAGCATTTAAATCATGCTTTTCTTTGTAACATAGTTATAGGCACAGAGATTATTAGTGAATAATACCTTTTTAAAAGGCCAAAGTAGTCAACTCTTTCCTGTGGCTATTAGTCAAGAATGATCTTATATGATTATTGTGAATTTTCCACATCCTATAACCATGGCTCTTCTGTACTCTAATGAAATGCTTTAAAAGGAAGCATTAGGAAAGTAGCCTGAAGGAGGTAGAATTTAAATCAGATCCTGAGGCTGCGTAGAATGGAAAGAAGGAAGGGCATTCTTGATATAGGCACAGGCTGTGGAGGAGCAGGAAGCAGGTGCACAGGGGTGTGGCTGGTGCGGAATGAGGGCTCTGAAGCCAGGCAGGGAGTGCTGATGGGGTAACAGAGACACAGGACCCTAGAAGAAGTACACGGCCAAATCCTTATGGGCTTGAATGGCAAGACACCGGGAGTCTTAGACACTTCACCACCGTGGTTCTCCTCAGGGGCACCAAACACTGCTTGAGCATTCATCATATGGCAGGCATTCATCTTATTCAAAGATGGACAAGAAACGGTCATCGCGTTCAAGGAACCAGATGAGACATGTGAAGGGGCAGTGTCATGCGGCAGGAAGAACATGAGACTTAGGTCTATTAAAACTGGCTCCATCACTTACTGGTGTAAATGTTATAATCCCTTGGAGCCCCCAGGTTCTTACCCTACAAAAAATCAGGATAAAAGCTGCCTTGCCAGGAGGATAAAATGATTAAGATTGTAAGCCTAGCACCAATAAGCCATTAACAAATATGTTAGTCCCCTTTCTATCATATCTACCCCATTCCTAACCCCAAACCAATAGGGAGATAAAATATGCTTCTTGTTTACCCTTTCTCCACAAAGTTGGGGCTAGAGCAAAGGATTTGCACTGTGCCTGTGTGGGCCAAGGGAGCAGGACCATCACCAAAATACAGCAGATGGAAGAAGGGAGGGAAAGGAGACAAGGCTGGAGGGTGAGGAGCTGGTCATCAACGGCCTTTTAAGCAGTGCTGCAGAATTTCATGCAAGGGGAACCATCCAAGGTTCCAGCGTATAAAGCAGGAGGTGGCACCGTCAGATCCACGTGGTAGGAAGATCACTTAAGTAGCAGAAGGAAGGATGAACTGGAAGGGCAGAAATCAGAGCAGGAAACCAGTCTTCAAGCCACTCCCAGCCTCATCTTAATCTCTCAATTCCTATAGTAGAAACTATTTCTTGAAGAAATTCAAGCACCTAATTATACACTGTCATATCTTGCTCTTCTATATGCACATTCTTCTCCAGAACCACATCATTAAGACTCCTGAGGACAGAAAGCAAACCAGACATTTCTTTCAAATTTCTCTTTTTTTTTTTGATTTGTTATTTCTTTTTTTTTTTAATTATACTTTAAGTTCTAGGGTACATGTGCACAATGTGCAGGTTAGTTACATATGTATACATGTGCCATGCTGGTGTGCTGCACCCATTTAATTCATTTAGCATTAGGTATATCTCCTAATGCTATCCCTCTCCCCTCCCCCCACCCCACAACAGTCCCCAGAGTGTGATGTTCCCCTTCCTGTGTCCATGTGTTCTCATTGTTAAAGTGCTAAACATGGTGGCTGACTGCTTCTGAGCTGGAAGTGAACTGAGTTGAAAGTTATTGGGAGACAGATACACTATTGTATAAAGTGGAAACTGAGGAATTATTCATGCTTCCATGGTTCAGTATTCTCATGTTCCCTTCCTCCACCTTCCACAGCTTAGACAGAAACATGCCTTGACAGGGCCAGGGCTGGCTCTTTATCACAAAGCCCACCTCAGCAAACGCTAAGGCCAGCAGTGTGAGCCGAAACCTCATTTGGGCTGTACTTCTCAAGAGACACTAAAGTATTAGCTCATCTGAGTCACAGCACAGCCAGGGCTTGTCACCATGTTTGCTTTTTTTTTCTGATAAGAATAAATTCCAGGGTAGAAGGGAAGAAATCTCCAGTAATTTCAGCATTTTTCCCACCATTGCTCTTTTCATACTTGACTCTGCTGGGGAAAACAGCCCATCAACACTTCAGCTACCAGCATGGGCAACAGAGCAGCTAGGGGTGTTTCCACCAGCCCCTGGCATTCGTGGAGCCCTGGCTGTCTGTACATGGAAGCCCCCAGCCACCCCTGAGGCCCAGCAGTGAACACCAGACAGTGGCGCAGTCCTGTGCACTTCTCGCCCCACCCTACTTACATCCTGTTCTACTAGGCACGTGAGCAGAACACAGAGCGCGCGTCTGAATTTTCATCTACCTCACTGTCCTCCCAAGCAAACAGCTGCCCTTTGACCCCGCCCCCCCAGGCCTAGCAACATCTTTTCATGGGAGGAGGCCTACACAGGTGTTAGAAGTGTGCTCAGGGCCATTTGGTAAAAAATTCCTGGGTCCTGGGTGCCCAGCACATGGGGGAGGTTTGGCTCCGGTGGGCGTATCCCTTGGGCAGACAGGTCTCCTGCTCTGCTGCTCTATGGAGAGAGAACAGCTGGATAAAGGAACAGGGGCTTCTAGGTTGTGGGCACGGGAAGAGGGATCTGGTTGCCTGGGTCTAAAGGTGGAAATGAGATAAAGTTGTATTAATTCCTGAAAATATAGTCTCCTCAAGCTTTGGGCTGGCAAAGCAAAAAAAAAAAAAAAAAAAGAAGGAACGGAAGGGAAGAGATGGGAAGGAGAGGGGAGAGGAGGGAAGGGGCTTAGGTCAAATCAGTAGATGCTAATCAAATAGTAGTTGTTGACTTCCTCTCATAAACCCTAGGCCCTGCTGGTTCAAGCCTAATGGCCACAGCCAGGGAGTGAATGAATTCTTCGAGAATGATTTCACTGCAGGACCACAATCAACTCAGAATAAGGAACCCCCATCCCTGTGCAATGTCTTCTCTCCTATTCATTCCCTTCATTTAAGGAGACACTATCTCCACATGCATCTCGCGAGCTATTTATCAGTTAGGAATACTTTCGGTAACATTTCCTGTGTGAATCACTGCAAAGATTGTATCTGGGACAGGCTTTGAGCTTTAGGATTTGTGTCTCTTAGCTGCTGGTTCTTTTCACTCTCTCCACTGCTGTCCCCCTGCCCCCAAACAATCCTTAGCGTGCAGGCTTGTTGCCTCATGGTTTTAATCTGGCTGCCCAAGCACCAGGCATTACACCTGTATTCAAGGCAGGAAGCAACGGAAGGGTGAAATATGAGAGCACCAGTGATGTCTTTTTATCTTCCTTTAATCAGAAAAGCAAGGGCTTTTCCAGAAGCTCCCTATCTGACTTCAGCCCAAATGTGTCACTGGGCTACCCTTAGCTGCAACGGAAGCCTCTACAGTGGACCCCATCATGGAACAGGGCAAAGGCAAAGGGGCCTGGTCATGGGTTATGTGTTGGCTACCCAATGTATCTCCCACAAGGTGGAAAAGCCCTAAAGGCTGTGAGGGACTGAGCCCACAGAGATGAGCATCTCGTCGTTTGGAGCTCCTTGGAAAGAGGCTTGAACCCCCAGGGGGTGCCTGTTATCCCATCTTAATGTCACCCAAGTCACTAGATAGAAAGAGGAGCTTTATTGAAGGAAGTGGTTCATTAAGTCCTTTGTCTAAAAACAGGCATAAAAAGGAAATGGGGCAGAGTAGGCAACAGTTCTTAACGTCTTACGAGAATAAAAACCAAAAGCACACATTTGAAGAACTTCTGATTGGCAGCTCCAAAGGCAGTAGGAAATAAATCTTTAGAACTTTCTCACATCTGTGGTGTCCACTTTGCTTCTCAGTGATGGGACGGTCCCTGAACCTCTTTCAGAAGAAGCTGGGAAGTCCTAGGTCCCTCCACTGCCTCCACCGTGGGCGCAACTTCACGGAGGAAAGCAGGCAGAGGTGCTGTGGGCAGAGGCCAGGAAGAAGATTCCTGTCAGCTGTGACAGGGACCAGCCTGGGTCCAAGAAGTTGCTTGAAGGCATACTTTTTAAGTTAGTCACTCATAAGAGGTTCTGCAAGAGCTCAGTTACCAGAGAAATGTGCTCCTGAGGCCATCCTGAGAGTGATACCAGGACTGGTTCCGTGACGATTGAGCACCTAGAACAGGACCTGGAGGGAGGGGTGTGTCCCAGGACCTGGAGGGAGGGGTCAGCTGCAGGCAAGGTCAAGTGGCCCCAACAGTGAAGGCTGACATGCATTGGAAGGCAGATCACCACTGACTATGCCCAATAGGGAACTGCAAGTTTTGAGTGTTTGGAGCTTATTATAACCAGCAACTCCTGCTCAAAACCCATGCCACCTCAGGCTAACACCACCTAACTTTTCACTTCTTTGAGGTCACCAGGTCAGAAACACCCCCTGTTTAACTTCGTCTTTGGTATCAGAACAACCAGCTCTCTTCTTCTGGGATCATGTGATGTGGCCCTTCCCTGATGCAAAAGTCTCTGTGTTGTTTCCTACACTAACAATACACACTTGCAGCATGCTAGCTTCCAGGGCATTTTCTTCTACAGTCTCTCCCTCTGCATTTGTCTCTGCAAGACAGCTGGATGCTTTCGACGTCTCTCTGGAATAGTCTTTCTTCTGTATACACCAGTGTGCTGCCAAGGCATTGTTCTGGGTTAATTCAAGTCAGGTGGTAAGTGGTCAAGTAGCGCTGCAGTCTGACTCATAAGGAACACATGCATTTTGACATATAGTCCACATGTAATATACAAGGTCAACTATTTCATCCATATAAGAAAAATAAAATTTTCACATAGAAAAAGCTACATTTTAAGAATACTGCAGTCAACACTGAATTAAATGACTAAATTGTTCACATTAAAATGGTTAAATTTATGTTATGTAAATTTCAACTCCTTAAGAAAAATACTGTCTTACCAAAGTATACTTTCTAACTTCATGAAGTACTTTTACTATCTATCAACTTTTCTTCTTCCACCCCTGTGGGCCAGAAATACAGAAACAGCCAGTTGTCTTTTCTCAGAGAAGGAAACCTTAGCCACATAGAAGGCATGGCTTGCCAACCAGAGGACACTGAGCAACAAAGAACTCCAGTGTGTTGGCTCCTGGCCAGTGCTCAGCAGATGCAAGTTCCAAATCGAGTCACTCAAGGCATGGTTCTTTCATGACACCAAGGTCAGCAAAGGAAGCAAAAGCATCATCACATGACATAGAGGCCGCCATCTCTTCCTCTCCATATTTGTTTGACTTGAGGAAGGAGTTTATGTCTCAGAAGCAGTATGGTAGGAGACTGTGTGTGCAGTTAAGATCCATTTTGCTGTCTGATCCGTTTCTCAAATGTTTTTACTTTTTAGTTTTCTAAGTGTATAATTCAGTATTTTATAATTACTGTATATTGAAAAGTTGTACAACCACCAGTACTAATTTCAGAACATTTTCATCAGCCCCAAATAAATCCTGTGCCTATCAGCAGCCACTCCCCATCTCTCTTCCCCCCAGCCCCTGGTGACCACCTTTCTACTTTCTGTCTCTATAGATATTCCTATTCTGGACATTTCATATAAATAGAATCCTATAATCAGTGGCTTTTTGTGTCTGGCTTCTTTCGCTTAGCATAATGTGTCAAGGTTCATCCGTGTTATAGCATGAGTCAGTACTTCATTCCTTTTTATAGTCATCTAAGTCATTTATGAGCCCCCAGCGATTCTTCCTGTTGCTTCTCTCCTGTTAGCTATGAGGATAAGAGGACAGAGGGAACCAGAGTCAGGGCAACAGAAGACAGCCCTCATCCTGGTAGTGCCCAGAGAGAAACAGACTCCTCAGGAACATCACTAACATCCCCAACAATCTTCTGGTAAGAGATATGAAAGGACTAGTAGGTCAGAATCATTAGCAAACAGTCTTGACTACACAGGTCCATGCACAGCATGCAATTCAGTACAGCCCCAGGCCATTTTCAAGGCAGCAACCCCTGCAAACTCTCCAGACAACCACGTAGCCAGACCTGCCACTTACACAAAGGTAAGGTCCGGCATCATGCAAAAAGAATCATCCACCTGACCCCCTCCTACAAGCTTTCAGGAGCTCCCTCTTAGACTGCTGAGTCATAGTACAACTATTCTTCAGTGTTCTCTTCTCCTTTGAGTACAAGGTAGACAAGGAATGATCATGCCTATTTGTAGAAGAAGAAGTGGAGTCCCAGTAACGGCAAGTGACCAGTATTCATTTATGACAGGTGACAGAAGTGAAATGAGAGGTCCTATCACTGCTCCGGGTATACCAAATGGATGTACAAGAAGGTCGGCTAACTAAACTCTCCTTCCACGGAAAAAGCAAGAGAAAAATTACAGTCAATTCTCAACTGTCCAGATTTGAGGACATATATAAACCCAAGCTGTATTCTTCCTGCCACCGGACCGCGTCTTCTTTTTCTGTAATTATATAGCATGTACCCAGAACACAACCTACATTAACAGCAAAACATCACAGGATGGTCAACTTGCAGCGTCCTCCCCACCCCCAAGTTCTCCAGCACAGACCAAAGCCCATCACAAACAAAAGAAAGAGAAAAGTGGCACAGGTTCGTTTTACATGAAGGTCCAAAAGAAAATTGAGCCTTCTATTAGATCCAGCCGGCCCAGGAAAAGGCTTGACAAGGAGCAGCGGCCCCTGCCCATCCTTCCCCACAGCCTCCCCATCCAGCCACACTTCTTACCCGCCCTTCGAACTTGGCGGTGGCTCCTTCTTTGATGCAGAGGTTCCGAGGGGGCAAAATGAAAGCAGGGGCCTCTGTCAGGGGCATGGAGTCAACTCTTGAGGGATCCACACTGAGGGAGGTTTTGGAAATGTGTGACGAGGCAACCAGCTTCACATCCCCCATGGTCTGCAAAAAGGAAGGAAGAGGACAAGGTCAGATCAGACAAAGCACAGCCCTGTCTTCCCTTCAGGCATCAGGTGTGTCCAGTCTGGAGGTGTGGCTTTTACGTGGAGCAGATCCCCAGTTAGGTCAGTGTCCACCCACAGCTCCTCTGTGAAGATGAGAGGCTCTGTCTTTTATACACAAAGTGCCAGGACAAGGCAGAGCCCATCCCAGACAAACACTCCGGTTCCCAGGGCGATGCCCTGCCTCCTCAAAACCCTGTGGGGAACTTTCCATCTTTTCACTGACCCCTTCTTCTAGGAAAGGGGAAGCTGGGGACAAGAATGGAGAAATAGTTCTTATAATAGATATCTATAATCTGTATTTAATAGTCACTAACTCTTCAGGACCAACATCTACATTAAGCACTTCTGGCAGAAAGTAGAAACTGCTTTAGCCTGAACTGCAAGAGCTCACAGGCTATAGAAAAATGGGATCCATACTCCAAGAGAGGAAGGTAGTTTGGGGTTAATATGGCAAGGACCCTGGGTGAGGTAAAGGGAGAGTCTTGGCTGAATGAAGGGAAGGAGGTAGGCATGGGGGGACATCCCACCTCTGAGGACCAGATTGTGAACAAGGCTCCAAGATCACAGATCATCAGAGAAGGGGGGTGTTTTCAGATTACCCAGGCTAATGCCTCTGCTTATAACTGAAGCCCAGAGAGGGTAAGTCACTTGCCCCAGGAGACAGAGCAAAATGATGGTATCACTGACAAGAACACCTTAAGCCCTGACTCCTGGTCCAGGGCCTGCTGGGGACTAGATAAGATGTGACTGGGGCTGGCAAGGGTAGCAGAACAAGGGGCTGACATGAGAAGTAACAGACGACTACTCATTAGAGCGATCGTCAACTCTTTTGTGATATTTTATTATTCTTAATTTTAAATACATTTCATCATAAAACTTGAAAATTACCAATATGTAAAAATAATAAGTTATCATTTATTGAGAATACATTCTGTTCCAGGCACTGTATCAAGCACTTTTTATATTATCTCATTTGTTTTAATCCTCAGAACAACCCCATGAAGTATGTATAGTCATCATTTCGCAAATAAAGAAGCTGAGGTCAGACAGGTGGAATAACTTGCCCATTACACAGCTATTGAGTGGCAGAAGTGGAAGTTAAACCCAGGCAGGCTCCAGAGCTCTTTTAAAATGTGAAAATGTGAACCTGAAATAAAAGTTTTTTAAGTGAAAATATCCATAATTCTATTATACAGAATGGTGGTACATTTCCCTCCAATTTTGTTTTTATCAATATAGAAAAACACATATCTTACATGGTTGAAAGCATACTATGTAAACAATGTTTTCTATTTTTTCCCTACAACTTTTCTTAAAATAAGGGGGAAAAGTTGCTTTTAAGAAATTTGATTTTCAAATATCCATCATATTGATGTATGACTTACATAACTATCTCCCTACTGCTGGCCATTTGGATAGTTTCTAAATCTTTTATGATGCCCGGTGATGAGTCTATGTGTACTGAAATCTATGCCCGAATTCCTAAAGATTTCCTTACAAATGACTCCAAAAGTGGAATTATTATAAGTACATATCTGAGTTCTTGATTGAAAGCAAGAGAAGCTAAATCTGGCTCTTGTAAACAGAGAAAGGATTTGTTGGAAAGATGGTGGAGTTTCAGGGGGAGTTTCCAAAATCCATAGAAAAATCTGAAGAACCAGGCTGGGAAAACGTTGCAGTTGAGAAGAGCTAGGTGGTCGGACTCCAGTCAAGGCCATTGGACAACAACTGCCACCACCTGGAATACACCCAAAGTGTCCCTGTCCCAGGTTCCAAGTGCAGGTGGGGACAGATCCAGGCTGACGATCATTTCTTACCACAAAATCCCTGATGACTGGCCCAGACGTGGGGCACACATCTGCTGAACTGAAGAGAAGCCATATTCCTAGATTTGCTTTTCTGTTCATTTTCTTTGGCTGTCTGGTCACATACTTAAGTCCTATGCTGTGAGTCAGGTAAACTGACACAAATGAACAATGCTCTCTGGGACATGTAATTAGTTTGTTTAAATTTAATAATCTCTAACAAAAATAAAATGGGGATATCTCTTTTGAAGTTCAAGTGAAAGCAGCAAAGGGACTAGGCTCATTTGTAATAGGGCACATCCCCTGCTTGATAAACCCAGCTTTCTCTTTCACTGATAAGATATTAGCTTTGCAAACAAAATTCCTTGTTGAATGGTAAGACTCACAGGTTCCCTGCAGTAGGTAGCAATAAAAGCAAACACTTGTGTAGCACTTACTAGATGTGGGGAACTCTTCCAAGCCCTTTATAAATAATAAATATAAATAATAAATAGCTCATTTGCTCCTTACAACAACACTATGAGACAGATAATCTTGGTATCCCCATTTTGTGGATTAGACACCTGAGGCACAGTGAGATTGAGAAATTTGTCCAAGTTCATGCATTTAGTAGGGGGCAGAACAGGCATTTGAACCCAAGCACCTGGCGCCAGAGCTGCTATTCTTAACCACTAGGCCCTCTTGCCTCCTGTAAGCAGTCAAATTGGCTGATGGGAAAGGAAAAGTAAAAGTTGGGATAACAAGGGGAAAAGTTGAGAGCCGCTACCACATATGTATAAAATTAAAATATTCTGTAATACTATCAACAACATTAGAAGATGGGTGATAACCTGGAATAAAATGTTTGCACCAAACAAAGGTCTTTACATATCAGAAGAAAGCAGCCCAACAGATCAATGGACGGATGATATGACCTGAACAATGCACAGAGGATGTACCACTGAACACTCTTGGCTCCGACAATAATCCAAGAGTGCAAATTAAGAATAAGCTGTTACTTTTTAAAAATGAACCAAAACATTTCATTTAAATGACATTTAAAAAGAAACATAACATATACTGCTGGTGAGACCATGATGAGATGGGCATGCTCATACCCTCTGTGGGGAATAAAAACTGGTGTAGTCTTTCTGGAAAGCAATTTGGTAAAAAGATTCTAAAAAATACTTCCATGTCTTTTCCCAATAATCCTACATTTAGAAATATATTATTGGGAAAGAATCAGAGATACAGCCCAAAATTTATTTATAAGAACACTATTTGCATTATTTAGGACAGAAGATAGACTATATTTTAAAAAATCCAACAGTGAGAACTGGTCAAATACAGTGGAATACCAGGTGGTTTTATGGGTACATATTTACAGGGAAAATAATGATAAGAATTTGATGATATAGAAATTTTAAATTTAAAAAATTATTACGGGAAATTTCAAACATACAGAACAGTAGAATTGAATGATAAAATGAGCACCCCAAATACCTATCACCTAGATTTAACAATTAACATTTTGCCATATTTATAGCATCTATAGCATTTATAGCATATAGTATATGTTTGTAGAACCATTTAAAAGCAGTCATACTACAATTTTAATGGCGAGCATCAAGATATATTCATTCACTCAATTAAAATATATTTACTAAATATCTACCATGGGCCAAGCTAGAGACTTGGTATACAGCAGCAGTTACATGAGTGGGGCATGTGTGTTGTTGTTTGTGTGGCGACCGTAGAAACACAGGGCTGCGGAAGGAATGGGCATCATCTGATATCCCACATAGCTACCCAGGACCACACCCCAGTAAGAACACTGCTCCCTGTGCCCTCCTCCTCTGCCACAGAGGTGAAGTGATGATACACTGTGCAGCCAGGACCGGGTAGAGACTTGGGATGAAGGTGGGGACAGGTATCATGAGGATCAGACTTTTGTGACCCTGCCACAAACCCGGGGACACGGCCACTTTCCAGCTGTGAGCTGGGCAAGGTGCTCCAACCCTCTTGGCTTCAGTCTCTTTCTCTGTCAAATGGAATGATCATATCAGCCTCATAAAGTTGAAGGGAAGGTTTGAACGAGAGTGTATGTAACACCCATAATATAGCATAAAAGGCATTCAATAGCAGTGGCTGTCAACATCATTATCATCCAGTTCCCAAAGGGATGCCCGTCTCTCCACCCTGAATATAGATATAGACCCTTTCACCAAAGACAGCAAGAAGCCCCAGATATCTTCAGGCAAGGGTCTATGAGTGAGATGACTGGAAAACAGTAGCAGGAAGCAGATGGCAGAATTCCCTGGGAAGGTGGGGAGGAGGGCCTGAGGCCCATGGGCAGCTTCCCGCAGCACCTTTGTGTCTGTACTAGCAGCACCATTTAATAAGCAAGGTGTACGTGCTGACATCATGCTGGGCACCCATCTCAATCAGAAAGAGCAGTTCTAATGATCACCCCTTCACAAATGAAGACATAGAGGCTTAGAAAGCCAACTACTCTTGTCTAAGGTCACACAGCTAAAAAGTGAAAACCAAATCAAGGTCTGATTACAAAGTCAAAATCTGCTGGCTTCTCGGAGGCCCCCACATCTCAAATGAGGTATTTCTTGCCATCCCCAGTAATGAGAGATGCAATAGGCAGAGGGTTGGGAGTTGTACAGAGGAAGAGGGGCAGAGCATGTGCCTCCCCCTTCTGCTGTCAGGCCTGGCTTTGAAGACACAAGACTCTTCTCTACCTTTGCTTTCAGGGGAGCTGGAAGCTAGGAGTGGTGAGATCCTCCTGGAAGGTAGGAGTGGCTCAGGACCCTCTGTGCAAGTCCTCTTGATCTAAAATCAGAGGCCCATGGAAATCTCCTGAAGGCCCCAGATGTTCTCATCAAAAGGCACCTGCTTGATCTCAACAGCACATTAGACAGGAGTCATCCATCCCTAGGAGAGGTCTGGCTTCAGGTTAGAAAAGGAACACGCAAATCAATACAGCAAGGGAACATCTAGTCCCTTGCAAAGTGCTTTTGTGGGGGAGAGTTACTCAACTACCATGCGGACAGGACCAGAGCCCAGCCACACCAAACAGCTCTGCTCACCCTCAGCCCATCGCCCCACCCACTGCCATCATCAGCATAAACAGATCTCTGCCACACAATTAATGGTTACTGACATATGTGGAATGCTCTATCAGAAAAAAAATTAATAATAAAGTAAATTAGACCAAACCTCGTTCCTCTCTAATCCCTTGTCAAGCCTGTGGACTATATTCCAATCAAGAAAACCAGAGAGGTTGGGTGATTTCTACAATAATTTCTCTAATGCAGAGCAATGCTCAGTGGCTAGAATCAAACACACCCAGCTAGGGGGTCTTATTCAATACAAGCTAAACACAGATCAAAGGGGAAACACAGAGAAGTAAGAAGAAAAAACAGGGGAGAGGGTCAAAAAGAGCAGTGGTTCAAGAGCTGGAAACTCCCCCTTACCCCCCTTACCCCTCACCCCTCACCCCCTGATGCTTGGGCCAACGCCCACCTCTAAATGAGGCTTTCACAAGTAACATAATTTATTAACTATTTGAAGCAGCATTGAGTTAACTGGACTTTAATTTGATCAAAAGCACTTTAAATTGTCTCTTGAACCCAGAAAGGAACACTTTCAACTACAGCGAAAAGAGATTGTAACTATAAGGCAAATGACTCAGAAAAAAAGTTTAAAAAATCAGGGCTCAAGTAATACCACAGAACAAGTTTAGAGAAACCAGTTATCCCCTTCCCTACCCAAAGTGTATACATTTTAAATGATCATTGTCTTGAAGCACCTGGTCAGTTTGCCGGGCATCTTGGAAATATCATACCTTCCCTAGAGGGAGGGGCTCCCAAGCAGGCTCCGCAGTCTACCGTGAACCCTACCTCCAACAACAGCACACATCAGAGGCAGCAAAACCACCCACGTGCAAATGCCCCAGGCACTGACAGCTCCCTCTCCCACCTTAATCCTCTCTGCAATGCACTCAAATCCTGACAAGTTCTCTAATCACTCCTAATTCCGGAGTGCGCTGCTCCTCGGCTGTGCCAGGCTGACTTGCTATGACCTACCGGAGCAAAGCTGGGCAGGACCACACACCAGTGAACGGGACACACCTTACCGCAGCTTCTTCCTCGGCAGCTCTCACATGAGTCAGGATGCGAGGCAGCCACACTTCACCACCACCGTACTGCAGAGGTTCCTGTCCAAGGTCCAGCCAAGAATGGAGACCGAAGGAGTGCCGGGCGCCACAGAGCCCAGGGCCAGACCGAAAAAGTTAAGGGGCTTTTGTTCTGACTCTGCTCGCAGATGGTGCAATTTGCCTTCCGCTGAGCAGCCAACTTCACCCGGTCCGGGAGATCTGTTGTTCTAATCCGCCCAGCTGGGGTGACCTTTGAAACCTCTGGCTGCCACTGCAGAGGCTCTCAATGGAGTCCTGGGGGAGCCAGGGGTGGAAGCTCACAGGTTTTTATTTTTACTTGTTCAGAGCTGCAGATTCTAATCTGAGTGTGGAGCAAAGGGAGGACCCTGTCAAGCAGAGAGCTGAGTCCTCGGAGGGGCTGGGCACTCTCCCAATTCCACATCTGGCCTGGAACACCACTCCAACCCCTTGGCACATCTGGCCTGGGATTACCACCCAGGGATCATAAGATATTTCCTCCTGAGACCCAGCTCTTTCTTCCCTAAGCTGAAGAAGCCCTGTTTATGATCCCTAGAGCAGGATGCAAGCCCAGCAAGCAGATGGATGGAGAACTCCTGTGCTGTGTTTCTCATAAGGAACTGCACTGATGAGGCCCAGACTCCACAGACTGTGTTCATGTTGAGCACGACTTTGCCTCGTTGGTCCAGAGCCCTGGAGAGCTTCAGGAATGATCCTTGGAGCACTCCTCTAAAATGAGGCAGCAAGGTGATGCCCTGTCCAGACCTTTTCCTCCAGCAAGAGAAGGTATTTTCATAGTTCCAAAGGAACATCCTATGCAACTCACACCTTGGGGCAGACTGTGGACATCCGAATCGGCAATGACATGAATTTAAGTTTTCCCTTGATTCATATCTGATTCTTGAAGAGCTGGTATTCTTTTAACACCTAGGAGACCCCCTACCTGCTTTCCCAGTAGTTCTCAAACATTTTTGTCTCAGGGTGGGCCCCATTATGCTTCTAAAAATTATTGAGGGCCCCCAGAGAGCTTTTGTTTGTGAGTTACTGCTGTCAATATTTACAGTATTGGAAATTAAAACTGGGAAATATTAATTCATTTTAAAACATCAATAAGCCCATTATAGGCTAACATAAATAACATTTTAAGAGAAAAATATATTTTCTAAGACAAAAAAGAATTTAATGAGAAGAGTTGCTCCTTTTTGCAAATTAATGTCTGGCTAGTAGAAAACAGCTAAATTTTCATATCTGCTTTTGCATCCAATCTATTGTGACATCACAGCTACTAGAAAACTCCACTGTACGCTTGAAAGAGAATGAGAGTGAAATAAAGTAAATGATGTTTTCTTACAAAAATAACTTGGACCTCAAGGGACCCTGGAAGAGTCTCAGGGACATCCAGGGCACATTTTGAGAACCACCACATTAGCCTATCTCCCTACTCTCTCTGTTACCATCTACTCTCATTTCTGTCCTTCTTAAAATACACAAGGAGAAAGGGAAAAGTGGTCTTCTTTATTTTTTAACTTTTACTTTATTTTCCCTTTAAAAAAAACTTTTATTCTAGAGTAAGGGAGTACATGTGCAGGTTTATTACAAAGGTAGATTACATGATACTGAGGCTTGGGGTATGATTAAACCCATCACCCAGGTAGGGAGCATAGTACCCAACAGATAGTTTTTCAGCCCTTGCTCCCCTCCCTTTTCCCTCCTCTAGCAATCCCTAGAGTGTCTATTGTTCTGTTTTTATGTTCATGTATACCTCATGTTTAGCTTCCACTTACAAGTGAGAACATGTGGTATTTGTTTTTCTGTTTCTGTGTTAGTTTGCTTAGGATAATGGCCTCCAGCTATACCCATGTTGCTGCAAAGGACATGATTTCATTCTTTTTTATGGCTGCATAATAGTCTATGGTGTATATGTGCCACATTTTCTTTATCTGCTCCACCATTGATAGGCACCTAGTTTGATTCCATGTCTTTGCTATTGGGAATAGCACTGTGAAGAACATACAGATGTATGTGTCCTTATGATAGAATGATTTATCTTTCTTTGACTATATACCCAGTAATGAGATTGCTGGGTCTAACGGTAGTTCAACTCCTAGTTCTTTGAGGAATCTCCAAACTGCCCCAGTGGCTGGACTAATTTACACTCTCACCATGTAATAATGTATAAGTGTCTTTCTTTTTTTCTCCACAGCCTTGCCAACATTTGTTATTTTGGACTTTTAAACAAAAGCCATTCTGACTGATGTCAGATGGTACCTCATGATAGTTCTGATTTGCATCCTTTCTACTCTTTGTTTCTCAGTCTTCCCAGCTGTGAAATGGGCACAATCACAGCCTGCCCGGGGTACAATCTCAGGGTTTCCTGCTGGCATCCTTGAGTGACTTGGATCCAGGTCCCTGGGTTCCCACATGAAAGCAGGCAAAGCCAGCCCACTCTTGTCCCAACAGCTGAGTTCTTCCCTGAGCCACCAGGCAGCCTCTCCCTCCCCATGGCTTCCTGGGCCTTTCCTCTTGGAAGACACATTAAAGGAGGGGCTGAGCTTCTGCAGGCAGACAAGCTGCCCACATCAGCTGGGCCACATCAGCAGAGCAGCAGACCACGGGTGGGAGGAGCATTTCTGCTCAGCAACACAACCCTGGTGCCCACATCTTTGGCAGAAAGTTATTTTTAAATTTTCTTAAAAGGGGACAACGACAACAACAACACACACACAGACACAGGCACACAGATCTAATCAAATCCACACACCTAACCTCACGCACAGTGTGAAGGAGCAAGGCCTGGTCTCCTGGAGTTGTTTTCTTCCTGCTGGAATTCTTGCTTTATTTGGGATTTGATGGGAACAGGCTGAGAGAAGTTTTCTGCGATACAAGTCATATGCAAAAGTAATTAAAGCCAGAACCAGAGCCCTGCTTATAACTAAATTAGCGGAATGCACACTCCAGCTATAATCCTAAAGTTCACTCACTTCATTCTTAGGTTTCACCCCCTCAGGATTAAGTTTGGGGTATCAAGTATACTTATTGAACTCCTACCACCACTGTCTCCTTCTCAAATACCATGCCCCCCACTCCATTCTGCCAAGCAGAACTGTGCCTTGTGTTTTAAACCCTATGAGATGAGGTGTGAGTACTCAGGTAGGGGCAGCCTCACAACCCTTAGCCCACTGAAGCCCAGGAAATCGACTCAGGGAACAAGAACCGAGCTCATGGCTTCCAATCCCTAGGAGGGTGGCTTGAGGCAATTGACAATCTCTCAAAATCTTAGTTGATTCAGCTGTACAATGCGGCTACTGCTAATAGCCTCGTAGCTGCAAGATTGTTACGAGGGTCAGCAACGTGCATAAAAAGCGACCTCAGCCTAGTCTCTCACACAGAATAGGAGCTGAATCTATGATGACTGCTATCGTTAATGGTGTTACTGCTTTTATGATTTTAAAGTTTCTGTCAGAGGCTCAGAGAATAAAAGCAACCTTGCTCAAAGTAGGTGCACAGGAGAAATCCGGATGGCACTGGAGGGTGAGATAGCACAGAAGAGTCAGTGACTCTCATGCTTATTGTGGTGCTGCCACCCAAACCAGCTGTGTGATCTCAGGAAAGCCACCTTCCTTCTCTGGTCCTCTCTACACGGCCTGAAGGGTCTCTCTGGGCATTTCCTGTCCTAGTGCACCTTTCTCTAAGACTGCCACCAGCTCTCCACAAGACATGTGCGCAAGTAGGAAAGGTTCCAGCAGGGGGATCCAAGCCCAGGCAGGGATGAGCTGCTGCAGGACCCCAGGAGAGGAGGCAAAGCTTATATCCAACCAAAAAGACTTCTGTTGGGGCTCCCTGCCCAGGGCTGCCCGCCAAGCAGGCAAATCAGGCAGGCACACCTGGTCCTCGAGACACACCTGTGAGACAGCGGCACAGGCTAGGAAGACTCTGAGGGCTGGGTCAGTCCCGACCCACACCTGTGCAGTGATTCTAGCTCCTCTGCTTCTGGCCAGCTCCCAGGTGGAGCCCTCTGATTGGATGAGGTCTGTCCAGAGAAGAGCTGGGGCTGGAAGAGCTAAGGGAAAATCCCAGGGGAAAAAGGAGAAAAAGAGAGAACTAATAATAGTTGCCATGTATTTAGCACTTACTGTCAGGCATTAGACTAAGTACTTAAGGTGACTTAGAACTCATTTAATCCCTTAGCAGAATGGCAGATATTAACAGCAAAATTAATGGGGCAGGATGTTGGGGAGTATCATTTGCTCATAAGGTAAATGGAATATACTCCCTGTCTTTCAATCACTTCATTCTTCCTCTCCCTCCCACTCCCTCAATTCTGCCAGCATTTGGTAATTTGAGTTATTTTGAAACAGAAATCTTGCAGGGGGCAGGGAGGGAAGCCAGGGAGAGGGCTAGCAAGTGGGTTTGGGCAGCCCATGGCAGTAGGGTGTGCTATTGGTGCTGTAGGGTCACAGGACTGAGAGGAGACCCAGAAAGGAGAGGGAGTAAAAAGGGTCACCTCTCTGTGGCAGGAGTCTGTCCTGCCCTCCCCTCCTCTCCAACAGTGGTCTGTGAGAAGCCTAGGAAAGCCCACTTGAGAAAAGAAGGTGCAGGAAGGAAATGCACCTCATGATTCTGCAGATCACACACTCCCCTGGAGCAGGCTGTGAGCAGGTTCTCTACCTGCAGACTGTAGATCCCATGCCTTCTGTCTAAAATGGCCTGAAATACACACTGCCTCTCTGCTTTCTGCAGGGAGCTGGTTCTGTGGGGATGATCTTAAGGGACAAGCCCAGAGGATACTTTGCTAGGAAGACCCCTCAATTCTGAGGGCATGGGCACAAGTGAACTGTGAGAGAAGCTGCCCAGGCCTGGCTTCTAAATGTGGCCCCTGGTCCTCTCTATGCAGTTTAGGGGAGGCACCAGGTCCCATGGCCTGTTTCCCCTGAGAAAACATTAGCTCTGTGACTCAACTAACACCTGACTGATTGGAGGAGAGGGAAGAAGGAAGGCGCTTCTGTGTGTGTCCTCCTTTCCATGTGAGCCTAAGCCATTCAGCTGGAACAGGTCTTCCGCTTGGAAGAGGGAGCAGGAAGCACTGCTGACAGGAGGGGCTGCGGTGACATGGTTGCCAGTAGGATCCCAGACTCTTATCAAGTGAAGACTGTCACCAGCCCCAGCTGTCCACAGCTCCTGCTGGACCCCTGGGGCCAAAGGCAGTTGCCATCACTCGTTTGGCTCTGGTGCATCCATGGTTGACTCGAGCTTCCATTACTGAAAGGCCTGGGGATACTTCTATTCCAAATCCTTCCCCGTGTGACACAGCAAAGGAGAATGAGACATGAGCCAACCTGGTTTATCAACTCCTTTAGGACCTGGGATTTGAGAAGCAGGTTTGCAGTTTTCTAATTACATCCATCAACACAATCTGCCTCCCGTGGCTGAAGCCCAAAGCCTGGCAAACGGTATTAAGGATTTCTAGTTTTACTTCCATCCTTGGTTAGCACTGACAGGAGAAGGCAGGTGCACACGGAGGGAAGTGAGGAGGGAGCCGAGACTGGGTTTCTCCAACACGCCAGAGGAGGGAAGGTGCTAAATCTAGGTGGAGGTTTTTCCCATAAAAATCTAGGGTTTTTTTCCCATACAATTCTCAGGCTGGCTGCCTCAACTAAAGAGAGAGAGGGCCAATTCCTAATTCAGGGTCAAGTCCAGAGCTGTATCATAAACACAGCTGGGGTAACCACCAGTCCTAGGAGAGTAGTAACAACAGATTTACAACCTAAGAGGAAGCACAGTGGTGACTGCAAGACAGAGGACTTGGGTGGAGCCATCACGTCACAGGCTTTGTTGTTACACACACCTAGACTTGAACCCTGCTACTGCCACACAGTGGCTGGATGACCGTGGGTGATTTACTTAACTTCTCTAAACCTCAATTTCCCCATCTGTACATCTGCAGGGTAGTATGATTAGCAGCAGCTTTAAGCAGCTATCAGAAAGTAGATACTCAAAATACTCAATACATTGTAACTGTAATAAGTAATTTCTAACCATGTCTGGCATGTAGCAAGCACTCAAAAAATGGTAACAATTTGATAATAGTCAGTTATGATGAAGACTCAGGTTTCACATTTCACTTAAATGTTTTAGTTCATTTAAATATTGCTACAAACATTGCCCTATATATCACAAGGAATAGATTATTAATTCATGCTTTTATTTTTATTTTATTTTTTAATTCATGCTTTTAAAGTGCTTTTTTAAATCAATTACTTATAATTGTTGGACAATATGCATTGCTCTCATCTTCTCAGATTCTAGGTTACTGTTTGCACACTGAAAAATGGCTGGATTGCAGAATGTCAGCGATGAAAGAGAACCTAAATCATGTAGTCCGCTCCCTTATTTTATGGATGAGGAAACTAGGGTCCAGAGTGGACCACTGTATCTTCAAAGACTGAGTTGAGATCTCTGAAGCTGGCAAAGCACAGAGAACAGGCCATGGTAATCTAAGCAGGTGAGCCGTCTGTATAGAGCTGATCTAGGGAGATGGTGGTGCCTGTATATAAGAGCAAGGAAACTCATCTGGTAAAGAGATGGGTCAAGAGAAATGTTGAAAAATAGTCATTACATTGATTGAGACTAGCTTGTGGAGGGCCTAGAGGATGGTGATACTTAGCTAATGTTACCAAAAGGGTTTTTACTTAAAATGAACATTTAGCTACTTATTTAACAACTGATGAAATACTTTCCTAATCAATATCCCATTTCAACTTCACAACATACTAAGATATTATTTATTTATTTATTTATTTTTTGAGATGGAGTCTTGCTCTTGTCACCCAGGCTGAAGTACAATGGCGTGATCTCGGCTCAATGCAACCTCCGCATCCTGGGTTCAAGTGATTCTCCTGCTTTAGCCTCCTGAGTAGCTGGGATTACAGGTGCGCATCACTACACCTGGCTAATTTTTTTGTATTTTTAGTAGAGATGGGGTTTCAGCATGTTGGCCAGGCTGGTCTCGAACTCCTGACCTCAGGTGATCCACCCACCTCGGCCTCCCAAAGTGCTGGGATTACAGGCGTGAACCACCGTGCCTGGCCAACATACTGAGATATTTTATAGCACCACTTTATGGATGGAACACCCGAAGCTCAAAGACCAGGTGAGTCTTGCCTAAGGTCATATAGTTCATAAAGCAGTACTGGAATCCAGTCCTTCTGAACTTCAAATCCAACTTGGCAACATGCTTAGAAAGGGTTTATCAAGATATGTTAAATCTTATGGCTGGGCATGGTGGCTCACACCTGTAATCCCAGCACTTTGAGAAGCCAAGGCGGGGGCATGACCTGAGGTCAGGAGTTCAAGACCACCCTGGCCAACATGGTGAAACCTCCTCTCTATCAAAAATACAAAAGTCAGCTGGGTGTGGTGGCAGGCGCCTGTAATCCCAGCTACTCTGGAGGCTGAGGCAGGAGAATCTCTTGAACCCGGGAGGCAGAGGTTGCAGTGGGCTGAGACAGTGCCACTGCACTCCAGCCTGGGCAATGGAGTGAAACTCCATCCCCCCACCAAAAAAAAAAAAGCTATGTTAAATCTTATTATAACAAATACCTTACACAACAGGAAATTTCCAGTGTAACGAATGTATTGATATCCCCTTAGATTTTTATTGTCATGACATCTGCTGAGTATGAATTTGACTAAGTCATCAATCCCTTGCCCAGGGAAAACCCTTACATTTGCCCTAAACAAACGGGGTGACTTCATTTGAATCCCTCATGCCTGAGGAAGAGACCATGCATACTGGCAAATTTGTGCAAGGCTGACACCACCATCAGCAGATAGTCTTTCCCCATGCACAGAGAGGTTCCCAGAATGTAGTTAGAGATTGTTCCCATTCAAAGGCCAGAAATCTCTGTGTTCTCTCCAAAACCTTGCTGCCCTTCTCCAGACTCCCTCAACTCTCCTCCCACTGGCTGGGCACAAGCCCAGACCCCAGCCTTAGGTGCTGCATCAGAATGGCCAGGAGGCCTTGGCAGTGTGACAAGCTCTATGTTTCCACATGCAGTTCACCCCCTGCCCTCACTGCCCTCCTGAGATATGAGGGCTCCTCCCCAGACAGCCTCCAGCTGTGGATGAGAAACAATGGCTTAGTGCTTCCTGGAAATTACCTGGGGAGATGGAGAGCTGCCAAGCCAAACCTGCCAGGGTCATCAGCTCAAGGCCGACAGTCAGGCCCAGACACAGCCCGGCTCTTCCTCCAGCCTCCTTCACCCTTCACTGCAGAGGGCTGTCTCTCTCCCTGTTTCTGCTAGTTCCACTTCCACACAGCCCTGTCCATTCTCACCAGGGGCAGGGCACAGGGATCCCGCTTCTCAGGTTCCTTTAGAATTCTTTGGTACCAACCTTAGGTCCTTTGAGGATGAGACTCACTTACTCTAGGTGCCTGGAATTTCACAGCTGGAAGGGACCTTTGAAACTACTTTCAATCCCACCTCCAGCCCAGAGGGGTGTGGCTGTATGCCCTTTGGGATATTTGAGGCTACCTCACCCTAGAACATCAACTTTACTCAAAGATTTGGGTGAAGCATTTTTATATTACAACCAAAAAATTCAGATCATTGTATAGGATACCAACTGTAAGTAGATTTTACAAATAAATAGGAGTTCAAAGAAATGCCAGGCTTTCTGCAAGCTGCTACAGGCTACACCCCAAGCCCCTAACCCTAGAATACATGCTCTTTCTCTACTGTCCTCAGGGATGGCTAAGTCAGAGAAGCACTGGTCCAATTACAGAAAGGAAACCTAAGGTCCAGACAAGTGCAGTGACTGAACCACATATCGATTGTCACTAATACAAACAACCCATTTATTGAATGCTTATTGAGGACTAGGTACTGTACTGAGGGCTTTATATAAGTTTACTGTAATTTTCAAAGTAATTCTATAAGATACATACTGTATTACTTTCATTTTAAAGATAAAGGAAGCACTCAGAAGTTGAGTAATAGTAGCCAAAGTTCTCAAAGCTAATAAGTAACGGCTACTTATTATCAACTGGATTTGAACTGAGGTCTCTGATTCCAGGCTTCAGACCCTTGGTGACAAGGTCACATTGTTAGAGATGCCACACGGAAGAGCTGGGAGTGGACTGGAGTTCAAAGGTCCTGGTGTCCTGTCCTGGCTCTGCTGCTAGATTGCACATAATCACAGAACTCAGAGAGCCCCTGGCTCACCTTCTCAGTCTATAGATAAGAAAACCAAGGCCTACAGAGAAGAAACTGACTTAAGGCCACAACATTTCAGGGACAGGGTCTGCTAACAGTGAGGCCCTGAGGGAGTGTCCTGACCTCTCTGGGGTTAGAAGACCTCTAAGCAGGCCAGGCGTGGTGGCTCACGCCTGTAATCCCAGCACTTTGGGAGGCCAAGGTGGGCAGATCACTTGAGGTCAGGAGTTCGAGACAAGCCTGGCCAACATGGTGAAACAGCATCTCTACTAAAAATACAAAAAGGTAGCCAGGTGTGGTGGCAGGCACCTGTAATCCCAGCTACTTGGGAGGCTGAGGCAGGAGAATCGCTTGAACCCAGGAGGCGGAAGTTGTGGTGAGCCAAGATTGCACCACTGCACTCCAGCCTGGGCAACAAGAGTGAAACTTCGTCTAAAAAACAAAAACAAACAAACAAAAAGAAGACCTCTAAACATATAATCTTAGGTGCACATCCTGGCAGTCTCTCTGTGAGCTCCAGCACCTGCAGAGCCACTCGCACACTCTGCTCTGCAGACAGCAGCTCAGACACACTATCCTAAACCTCTCACCAGTAAGCAGGATGGAGCATACTAAGGAAACCTATTTGACAATCCCAGTTGCCCTGCTTCTGAGACTAGCTTGTCAGTCTGCTAGTGATGAGCTAAGCCTTGTATTACAGGAAATAGGACGTACACGCAGTAGCCAAATGCCACAGCCACAACACACAGCCCTCTCAGCAAGGAAATTCCAGAAGTTCATAATTTCCTGCGGTTCTTATACATAGGAATCCTCTTCTATATTCCAACTTCTTAGGCCACTGTTGTTTGTCTAAAAGGCCTACTCCACAGCTGGACAAAAGGATTGAGAAGATGGGACTCTCCTGACTATTTCGAACAGTTTACCTGATCATGGTTCTCAAGCTTTATCAGGTTTGTGCTCTCAGCAGAGCAGGAAGAACTAGGGCCTAAGGCTCAGAACTCATTACCTGTCCGCACACCCATCACTGTGTATTTACTGAGTGCCCACAATACCCGCTAGGACTATAAATAAGGTGAGAGGTTCAACTACCTCCTCCCAATACAATGACATAAGTGCTGTAGGTGAAACGCGGACATAGGCCCCTCCCCCAGACCTCAGGACAGAATGGCCGTGTTTCCCGTGGTTCCCATAGTCTCCCTGTGACTTCCCTCTCCTCCCCTGCCCCTGCTTCCCTTCCCAATCAAGGTGGCCACTCTCTGGAACGAAGAGTTCAATCTGCATCTCCCTGTGAGCCATGGGTGAGCAGGGTGGCCCTGGGTCTGGAGCTGGCGTCTGTTGAGCCTAGGCCTTTCTGGGCCTCAATCTCAGGCTTGGGCCGGCCCACTGTGTCAGGGTTCAGCCCTCTCTGCTTCATTTCTGGCGCTCAATAGAATACAAAATGAGGAAATGTAAGCCAGCTCTAAGCCTGGCCCTGGCTCTGCCAATGGGGATGCCAGTCATGTCTCTTCTAGATGAACAATCCCCCCAACAGGCTCAGGACAGTTCTCACCTTCCCTGTCGTGCTCCTCAGGTAGGCAGGTGAACCCACTCAAGCACCAGCTGCATGCAATGCCTGTGGCAGGACTGGCCGGGAGTCCAGTCAGACCCTTGGCTGTCCTCATGTGACTCACACAGGCCCTTCCACACCATGCCCTGCCTGTCTCCCAAAGGACACCCTCCAGTTCCAGGTTGTCTGCAGGGCAGTCAGTGATGTTGCTGAGAACAACTGATTTTTGCCATCTGCAATGATGGGTGATAACAGAGATCGACACACTTTTCTCCCTTAACAGTCTCATTTTTCTAGCAATCATGGCTACCTTTTTCTCCTCACACTTCACCAAAGATACTAATGAGGCTAACACATGTTTCTCCTTTTCTCCCAGCCCTAAATCTCTTCTAGAATGGGGCTAACTGGAAAGAAATGGTGACCTCTGAGAACCTGGAGAAGGTATGGAAAAAACCAATGATCAACTGAGAGCACAGCCCATCAGCAGGAACACAAAGAGGAACTTCTGCTCGGAGGTGTCAGCTCAGCTGGTTTCCAGTGGAGAGGAGAAAGTGCGTGTCCCCTCTCAACCCTTTCTGAAACAGGGAGCCATTTGCACTCGGGGTGAGGGAGCCCTTCCACACAGGATCCTCCATCAGCTGCAAGGGGGAAGTACAGGCAAATGCAGGGCCAACAGGGAGATCAATGGACCACCATCAGCTATTAGCTGCACTCATACCTGGCTCAGGGATCATGGGCCTTGAGGATATGAGGCTCAACTTCCAATAGGGAATTTGGAATCCTATTGGAGAAAACAGATTATCAAAGAGAAAAATAGAGCCCCAGGAGCCAGGAAAGTGGGATGGAAAATTAAAAAGCTAATGGGGCATTGACCTGTTCAAAGGCCCTAAAACCCTTCATGCTTGTCTACTCCTGAACTTGAAATTCCACACCCTACCGGGGACACTGTGCTAAACAAAGGCAGCAGTTCATTTTTTTTAGCATTCAGCCTGGAGTGCCTAGCATTTATTGAGTGTTAGATGCTCTCTCTCGCCAACAGTAACAAGATTGGTATAGTGCTCTGAAGAGCAGTATGTTGTTTATCATCCCTGTAAAGCTTTGAAACGGCAATTCTAGTGCCAGAACATTTTCTTTCAAGCAATTTAGGTAAGCTTCTACCTGGTGGACACAGCAGCCAGCCAGCTAGGCCCCTCCAGGTGTGATTGATTAGGCCAGAAAGCAGTACTTCACATACTTATTTGTATCATTTTTCTATAAAAACATATCTATTAAATTAACAATTCACTTCTAACTACTAACCCCCATTTCTAACAGTTATATAACATTGAACAGAATGCTATCACCTGGAGCTTTTATCATTAACGCTCAATATAAAGAATCCATTTTTAATCTCACTCTGGTTTTTTGTCATTACCCAATATGGAACTGTTCTTAGAGAAAGCAGACCCCTGGGACTTCTCAGAGTCAGCGATAGAGATTCAGGACGCCTACACTGAAGAACTCTTGCCCCCCAGTTCTGTTCCCCCTCATACCTATTAGTCAGGGCTGGGTTCTATCACCTTAATGGCTTCATCCCGCTCTGCTTCTGGGCTCAAGAGAAAAACTGAATTCATTATTGACAGCACCTGTTCCTTGTGATGTAAGCTTAAACCAAATGAGGGGCGGTCAGAACCAACTTGCTTACACCTGTTTCAGTTTAAGACTTTGCAGTGGTACTTTCTCCCCCACTGAAAGTCAGGTTTCCCCACCCAACCTCTCTAGGAAGCTATGGTTTGACATTAGCCCATGCTTGCTCAGGTGTCCTCTCCACAGATCCCGGCCAATTCCATATCTAGCCTGGCCTCTAAAGCAGAGCGTTCTCTCTTGAGTGAGACAGTGGTTTCCCCTTATCTCTTAACTAGAGACTTAAAACAGTGTCCAGGTGCCAAAAGGTAATTTCTTGCTTAAGTCCAGGAAAAGCCAGAGTTTGCCCCAACACTTGTCACCTGTGTCCCTCAACCAACCAACTGAACAAAACATCTATGAAAGACCTAGATGTCTCTTTACTTTGGAAATCCCTGATGCAGGGCCAACTGTTAATCTGTTTGTTCACACATCCAGTCAGCTGTGCCTGTCACGGCTTCTCCGTTGACTGGGGGCCCCACTGAGCTGAGGCTGTCTGTGAGGAGATACTTTGTGAAGGTCTTTACCTCCTGTTTCGCAGTGCTCCCAAGATGTCCAGCCAGGCATATTGGGGCACTCAGGGTCACACCAATTCTCCTGTGGGCACAGGGAAGGGGGCCTTCTCCACAATCCCACCCCACTTTTCTTGCAAGATGAACCTAGGCTTGGCTCCCAGGCTAGATCACTGATGGTCAACTTGGCAGTCTGCTCAGTAATGGGGTTCCCAAAAAACGTGCCTTGACAGAGCCGATAGAAGAAAGGGCAGACAGCAGGAAGTAAACAGAGCCCACTCAGGCCAAGTCCCTATCTGCTTAAAGTTATCATCCTCTACCATTTGAACTGATTTTTGCACTAGCCATACCAGGGCTTTTTCATGAAAAGTCAAGAACTTGCTAATGCTAAAAGGTTGCAAATAGGGGAAGGTTCAGCTGGCAAATTATTTACCCTTACTTAAGCTTCTGCTTATTGAGATTTTAATGGTCATGTACCAGGTTTGTGGGATGGGGGAGGAAGACTGCAAGGGGAAAAGGAGCTCTTGGGTCAAAGTTAAATATGAATTCTAGCCACATGCTGGGGCAGCTTGGGAATAATTACCTTGGTTATCTTAATCAGGATAGACAGCAGAACTGTATTCATCTACAACACCTGGGCCACTTCTCCATCAGGCTGGGCCCACCTCTGCGTCAGGGAATCTTAATTCACTGTCTCTCTCTCTCTTTTTTTTTTTTGAGATGGAGTCTCGCTCTGTTGCCCAGGCTGGAATGCAGTGACGTGATCTCAGCTCACTGCAACCTCTGCCTCCCGGGTTCAAGCGATTCTCCTGCCTCAGCCTCCCGAGTTGCTGGGATTACAGACATGTGCGACCACGCCTGACTAATTTTTGTATTTTTAGTAGAGACGGGGTTTCACCATGTTGGCCAGGCTGGGCTCGAACTCCCAACCTCAAGCAATCTGCCTGCCTTAGCCTCCCAAAGTGCTGGGATTACAGGCATGAGCCACCATGCCCGGACAATTCACGGCCTCTTAAGCACTAGAGGCAACCAGCAGAGCAACTGTCATCAACCCAGAATGTCCTCCAACCTCCTTTTCAATAATTAGGGTGACCACATAACATATTATCCAAATGAGAGCTCTTGAGAATGGAAAGGGCTCTTTGAATACTCATGCTGGGACTATTCAGGGGAGCCGGGCTATACATAAGGCCACCTCTACCCTAATCACTCCCATGTCTCCCTAAGTCTAGACACAAGACATGACTTCAAAGATATCTTCCCCATGCAGCTGTGTCAAATTTGGTGCCTGCCCTGCCTGTGTAGGCACTGACCCAGAAGGCTGCCACAGAAACACTGACTCATGGGCCCTGTTCCTGTGTCTCGGGCTCAGGGATAAATTTGGTTACAGATACCAAGCCTCTAGAAAAACAAAAGACAAAGGTATCTTCCCCGGCCACATTCACCCTATTCCGGCCAAGCTCAGGCTTCATGTCCCCTCTGTCCAGGAACCTGTTATTTCACACTCCGGGTTATTTTGGACATGTTCTCATAGCTGTCCTTACTCCTTTGCTAGACAGACAGTGTCTTGGTTTCTGACTCTTTACAGGAATGTTGAACTCACCCGAGTTCCCTTGTCTCATCATCTTTTGTCATTCATAAACAAATAAACAATATTGGCTAAAAGTTTGGTCGTGAGTACGATTACAAATGACTTTTCCCCCAATATAAATACTATAATTTTCTGTAATATTTTTCCAATCTGTTTCTATGTATGTACTTTTAAAAATAAAATTATATATACAAATTATCATTGCCTTCATTTTTCATGCTTTTCCTCAGATATGGAACACTCTTCATAAATCTTATTTTCAGTGACTGTATCATATTCTAGCAAGTAGACAAGCCAAAACTTAATGATGCCCCTGTTATTTACTATTTAGGTTGCTTCCAATTTCATTAAAACAAACAGTTTCATGGACATAAACTGATCCTTTCTTTCTTTCTTTCTTTCTTTTTTTAGATGGAGTCTCATTCTGTTACCCAGGCTGGAGTACAGCGGCATGATCTCGGCTCACTGCAACCTCCACCTCCCAGGTTCAAGCAAGTCTCCTGTCTCAGCCTCCCGAGTAGCTAGGACTACAGGCACCTGACACCATGCCTGGCTAATTTTTGTATTTTTAGTAGAGACAGGGTTTCACCTTGTTGGTCAGGCTGGTCTTGAACTCCTGACCTCAGGTGATTCACCCACCTTGGCCTCCCAAAGCACTGGGATTACAGGCATGAGCCACCACACCTGGCCCCTTTATTTCCATAATAATCCTTTAGATTATTTCCCCAAGATACATTTCAAGAACTTCAATTACTGAGTCAGAGTGCATGGGATTTTATGGCTCTTGCATCCAGGTCCTCTTGATTCCTGTCAACTTGCCTGGTGCTGACTTGTGGCTCCCCAGTATTTTACTCTCCTGCCTCAGCCTCCGTTTAAGCTTGTTCTTCTTGATCTGGTGCCAGAATTCAGGCAAGTATCAGGTCCAGGGATTCCTACATGGTTTGAAGGGATGTACACTTAGATACCCAACCAAGTTAGGCAAGCCTTGGGAAGTGAGGCAAGTATTGAGTAAGACAGAAAAGGATCCAAGCTTCGAGAAGTCGTGAAGTTCAAAACGATTGCTATCAAGCAAAACATGAGGCTTCTGCCCTCTCCAGTATAATCCTGCCAGTGGGGGCAGCTCTGGAATGCCTCCCATGGTCTTTTCCACCCAGCTGAGTCCTACTCCAACCTCAAGGTCCATCTCTTCTCTAAGCCCTCCCCACCCAGCAGGATCTAAGAGCCTCTAAAGCCCTATCTATGACATGGGTCCACAAGCACCCCATCCATCACATCGTGCCCACCAACCTATGAAAAGTAAGAAAAATGAGGACAACATGGGGAGCTTTTTATACCGCTTAACGTAAATAATTTAAAAGGCTGTCCTCTAATCTCAGTTTATGTCCTTCAAACTTTTTAGAAATTCATGTGTTCTTTCATTTATTTGTAAAAATGTAAATGGCTTTGTTTAATTAGAAGTTTGTTCATTCATCACGTTTTTGAGAGCTTACTACCTGCCAGGTGCTATAATAGTCCCTGGAGACATAGCAGTGAACAAAACAGATGAAGCTTCCCCTGCTCAGCCCAGCTCAGATTCTGCAGATCAAGGCCTTGTCTCCCCAGCTGCAATGCCTATGAGCAGGACCTGGGTTTGTACATCTTTGGATCTGCACACAGTAAGTTCTTAATACACACTTGCTGAGGACAGAGTTTTATAATGATATCAACACTTCCTGGGAGGATGGTGGGAGCACTGGTGTGCACATCAGTATGCATTGATGGCATACATCCTATGGGTCTCCCATATGTATGTATGGCATATGTATGCATGCATGGAAGCATGAAGTAGGCGCTGAAGTCAGCCAGCTCTGGCACCACACTGCCTGGCTTCCAGCCCCAGCTCTGCTGCAAGACCTTCAGCAAAGTTCTTGGACCTCTTTCAGCTCATGTCCTCCCTATAATGGGGGGAAGATGGTAACAACACTTGTCTCAGAGGTCATGAGGACTGAAGTCCTCAACACAGTGCTGGTTCCCTGGAAGCCCTCCTTAAATGTGGCCTGTTGCAGCTATAACCATAGCACCAATTGGGTGCTAAATGAACCAGCTATTAGGCGACAGAGTCAACATTAAACCAAGAGAAAACTTCCACACTCCAGGGAACCAACCTGAAATTGAAGATGTATTTCACTGGTTGGCCAGAAAAGTTAATAACATAAGACAGAAATTTTCATTTGTACATAAAAGAGAGGGAAAAAAAACTAGACAGACTTTCTCCTCCTTCTCCAAATATGCCAATAATAGAAATATGGCACAATGCCCCTGCCAAATCCAGGTTTCTGTAATGATGGGCACGTGCCAGAACTCAACCACAAACAGCCAGGCTGAGTTGGGGGGAGCAGAATTTGGGAATAAACACACACAGATCGGGGACTTTCCTGAAGTATGGACATTCCACAGACAGATCATTTCCGGTGCCACAGAAAGCTTCGGAATTTAAGAAGTCTGAAGGAGGGTGCAGTAGGGTGGGAAACAGAGCATGGGCCACAGCCAGCAGAAGGACAAAGGCCCAAGTTTGTAGAGGCTGCTGTTAGCACTGAGATTTAAGTGGAATGCTGTGCAGATTTAATATCAGTGGCGCAGATAAAATAATGTCAGCAGATTGGGTAATTAAAGCTTCTTGGCTCACTTCCTCACTCTCTCACTTTCTGGAAGGATGTTCAGAGGGAAAAGAGATGGGTGCAATAAACCAAGAATTCCTCAGGGTTATGAGGATATTTTTAGTTTCTCCTGACATCTAGGATAGCAGAGATATTATTTCAGGATCAGATCTTGACTATGCCCTTTACACTGGGCTAAGCATCACTCTTTAAAACCCTTTGATGAAAATGAGATTCTTTTAAAGATGTCCACAGAGTAATTAAGACAAGACTACTTCTGGGGAGTCTTTAGCCCCTAGCAGAGGCCATTTCTAGCAGAGTGGAACATATACTGTGAAGCCAGTTGCCACCACTCCTGTTTCTTACCATCTCCCCAAATTCCTTTCCCTACCTGCCCAGGGTTCCCCTCTGGGCCTGCATCTGGATCAGATCTGCTCAGCCCAGGCCTACAGCTACACCAGGGGAGTTGTCAGGGGGCCGTAGCAAGGTCATCACAGAGCAGCACTGGCCCAACCACCTGTTCCCACTTGCTTTTTAAAGCTTGGGCTACTTGACAAGGAAAGAGTGAATCACAGAACCACAGAATCTTATTCTGTCCCAAACTGGGCAACAGTGGGCCTCATGTGTGCAACGAGATTTGCCAGGGTATAGCTGAGCCATGAGGCTGGTGATTACAGGCTGATAGCGGGTAAGGAACCAAAAATAGGGCAGGCCTGAGAGTGCGAGGAGCTGCAGAACTAACTCCTCCAGATCCTTAGGGTGGTCCTGGATTCTCAAGAGGTAAGGCACCCTCCTCACACATGCAGAAACCATCTCTGTGCATGTCCAACAGACCTGAGGCCTGAGGCTCCAAGAAGGGACAGGGGGCATGGCAGGGGAAGGAGTTCAGGTCACTGTTAGCAGGGTCAGCTCTCTTAGGAAAGGTCTAGAGAACCTCATTAGGGCCATCCTCTTCCATTGCCCAGCTCCTATAGCAGAGGGGTTTATTGTGGGGACCTTGACAGAGCCCAGACAGCACATCTTTGAAAGGTAACCACTGAGTTACCACTCTCACAGGTAGTCCATTCCCTTATGATGTCAGGGGGCACTGTATTATTCAAGAAATGATTTTTGCTGAGCCATGATATGCCTCCCCGTAAATGGACCCAATTCTGCCTCCTGCAGTCACACAGAGTGAACTCTCCTCTTCTATAAGACATGCCTACAAATGTTTGAAGACAGGCATCACTTATCCTTTATCATTCTGCAGATTAAACACAATCAGTCCCACTTCAACTATTTCTACTTGGCAGTTTTCAAATACATCCACTTCCTCTGGGCACACATTAGTTTGACTATGACCCTCTTGCTATGACTCTGAGGAATGAAGAAAGAACACAACCACAGGGAACCTGTAATCCCAGCACTTTGGGAGGCCAAGGCAAGTCGACCACTTGAGCCCAGGAGGTCGAGACAAGCCTGGACAACACGGCAAACCACAACTCTACAAAAAAACACAAAAATTAACTGGGAATGGTGGTGCATGCCTGTGGTCTCAGCCACTCAAGGGGCTGAGGCAGGAGGATTGCTTGAGTCCAGAAGGCAGAGGTTGTAGTGAGCAGAGATGGCACCTCTGCACTCCAGCCTGAGCGACAGAGCCAGACCCTCTCTCAAAAACAAAAACAAAAACCCACAACTCGCAACCACACAGTGGTTAAATGTGCAGATTTGAATCTCAGTTCTGTCACCCACTGTGCCTTAGTTTCCTCAGCAGCACCTGATAATCTTAGTTGTGGTGAATTAAATCAACAATTCATGGAGAGCTCTTAGAACTGTGCTTGGCACCTGATAAGCATCTAATTAAGTTTTAGCTACTTCTTAGCACAATGCTTACATTATAAGAAGTACATAATACATACACAAGTCCTCCACCTAGATATTCCAGTTCCCTGACTCACCAGCTTCCTTACCGATAAAACAACAACAGTACCACCCTGGGCAAGGCTGCTTTGAAACTTTGATGAGGCAAGAAATGAGAAGTCTCCTGGTCAGTGCTTGGTGCATGACAAGGATGAAATAAACATTAGCTTCCTTTCCTTTTTATTGATGCAACAGTTGGGAGACCATTCTTCATGTCTCTCACAGTTTTGCACATCTTGCAAGCAGAGGCACTGACTGCCTTTGTTCCCGACTATCTTTTCAAGAAGATTTGCATAGCAAACAGCCTTCAAAGAGAGAGTTTCCCTCAGGATGGAGCAAAGTGCAGGCACACTTACTGTTCATTACAGAGCTCTCAAGTTCCCTAGGCTCAGGAATTCTCTCCACTGTGTGTGCAGGTATCACCTGGCTCTCTTGGTGTCAACCTGTGGGGGTTGGAGCTCAAAGAACCAGTACAGGAAAATGATGATGTTCTGATTACTGTTACTGTTGTGAATCATAAAGTCCCTTATCTCTACCCCATGAGTCTCATCTTCTGCCAGCAGGTATGAAACTGTGGCAGGTTAACTCCTTAACTTGAAAGTATATGAAATCTAAGACCCTTCACAGCTATTAGCAAAAGCCTATAGAAAAGATAGTGGCAAAATAAACTCCTTTCCCATAGTCTTTATCTTAAAATGTCATCTACCCCTTCACATCCTAGCAACGTTTAGCTGACTTTTTAAAATTTTTAAGTAAAGAATGTTTCCTTATTTTCTTATTATTCCTGTTGATTTTCATCTTCTGGATTGTAATTCAAATTTCTGTTCATTTGAGATATTTCTAAGCCTCCTTTTTTTTTTTTTTTTTTTTTTGCAGGGGGCATTCTTTTGAAGACTCCTCTTTTTAAGTTCCTTTGTCTGAGATGCACAGACCATCATCTCTCCTTACATCCCATTCATTCCTCCCACCAAAACAGGTGCACCACCCTCCTTCTAAATCTAGTCTCTTAACTGTAGCATCAGACACCAGGTCTGTACTGAATAAAACTTACGGAGAGCTTCTAACTTCATTCAATTTGTTGGCAAGAGAACTGAAAGTTCTACCAGCATCCTAGGGTGCTCTTCTCCTCTCCCTTCATCCTTCACTGAGAGCACAGAGCAGGGCTCTCATGCTAACAACCCTGCCTGTAAAAGGTGGGGATGCATGACCTGAGGGTGTGACTCAGGCAAAGGCCAGCAGGACACCAGCTGTTGTAGTTGGGCAGAACAGGTAAGAACAGAAATCTGAGAAATCTGGCCTAGAACAGCTGACTAACCCACATCAAGCCAGGATCTAAGAACATGGTTGTATGAATGGGAGCAGGGAAGTACAGATACTGCCAGACTCACCTCAGGCACTAAGAAAAGGAGGGAACACAGTTAAGGATAAGGTTATGGAAATGCCTAATATAATTTCTACTCACCTCAGGCAGCTAAGTGGAAAGCTGGTAGATACAGAAGCAGTCATGGCTCCACGTCTTTTTCAGATACCCTAAATTAATGGGACATGATCTTCACTCCTGCCTCCTACCACTACTTCCACTGCCACTCATTTTTAGATCGAGGATTTGTGTGCATGATAAAGTCTAGCTTGCAGATACCCATGGACTATTCAGCTAAGCTACCAGTGATTGATTTCCTTCCTTCCTTCCTTCCTTCCTTCCTTCCCTCCTTCCTTCCTTCCTTCCCTCCTTCCTTCCTTCCTTCCTTCCCTCCTTCCTTCCTTCCTTCCTTCTTTCCTCTCTCTCTCTTTTATTCTTTTCTTTCTGACGAAGTCTGACTCTGTTGCCCAGGCTGGAATGCAGTAGTGCAATCTCGGCTCACTGCAACCTCTGCCTCCCAGGTTCAGGCAATTCTCCTGTCTCAGTTCCCCAAGTAGCTGGGATTACGAGTGTGCACCACCACACCTGGCTATTCTTTTTTTTGTATATTTAGTAGGGACAGGATTTCACCATGTTAACCAGGCTGGTGTCGAACTCCCGACCTCAAGTGATCCACCCACCTCGGTCTCCCAAAGTGCTGGGATTACAGGCGTGAGCCACCACGCCCGGCTGAGCTAACAGTGATTTTCAAAGTTTTCTCTCTTGCTTTCTATAATTACCCTCCCTCCCCACTACAAAATTGGTATATCTAAGTCTCAGCAACTGGTATGAAATTATAACTAATGATTCTTTTAAAAATAAATAAAAAATTAAAAAGCCAACAAAACTCTTGAACTATCATGCTTTGCTATTATTCATCTTTTTTTATATTTTGGGTTTTATTTTTAGATTTTACTGTCTAAAGATCTCTTATAATATATTTTAAGCAGGGCAGGGTATCCCAAGATCTCAACATCTGGTCATAAGTTACTTGCAGAGCTGTAGCATAGTTTTCTTTCTTTTGAAAAATAATTAGTCTGTGATGGCTTTAATGGATAGCAAATGAATAAAAACAACTTTTATCTTAACATAGTTTTAGCAGTAAGAATGAATTTTATCAGGCCCCATGATCAGGGATTATCTGGAAACATTTAGTAATAAGTTCCAAGAAAAACTCCAGGGGATGAACCCTTGATCTGCAGGCCTCCTACCAGCTTAAACTTTACAGGGCTAGGGGTCCACCTTCATCCCGCACCCAGGGTCTCCTTTGTGTTGTAGGGGCTCAACTGCTGGTCCTGCCTCCCCCAAGATGGCTTTCCATTTTGTCAAAGTGTTCACAAGTGCCCCAACCAGAAATTACTCTTATGCTTTCCTATGATACTATGGGTCGTCTGCTTTCATTATGTTTATGTAAGAGACAGGACAAGATCCAAACCTCATCGCAATCTCCCAATTGCCAGAAAACCCAACCCTTTACCTATATAGATTAACTTCCAGTTTGTCCAACCCTGTAGGGGGTTGCTGTGGTTTGAATGTGTCCCCCAGAATTCATGTTTTGGAAACTTGACTCCCACTGCAACGGTTTTGAGAGGTGGGACCTTTAAGAGGTGATTAAGTAATGAAGGCTTTGTTCTCATTAATAGATTCATGTTATTTCAGGAATGGGTTCATTATTGTAGGAGTGGGTTTCTTATTTAAAAAAAAGTCCAACCCTCCTCTTGCTCTCTTATTCTCTCTTGTCCTTCTACCTTCCACCGTGGGATGACACAGCAAGAAGGCCCTGGCAAGAAGCCAGCCCTTGAACTTGGACTTCCCAGCCTCCAGAACTGTAAGAAATAAGTCTCTATTCTTTATAAATTACCTGGTTTGTGATATTCTTTTACAGCAGCATAAAATAGGCTAAGACAGGGTCTTCAGGCTATTCCAACACAGATACTGCCTCTAGTCAAAAATGGCCAGACCCTCAGGCCTGGGTACTCCTCATCAATACAGAGAAATGAAACCTGGTCAAGAGAAGAGGCCACTGCTGTCCCAAAGCGCAGCCCATAGAATTACTCCCCAGACACAGGTACCATCTGGATTATCCAGTCTTTGTAAGAACCTGAACTGGTAGTTCTGTGTAAGAAACCTTCAAGGGAAGCCATGAGGGACTCCTCCATCCTTCTTCATCTGCAGCAGGGGGTCATGTGTACTTTACAGAGTATGGTAAAGAATCCCACTGCTGCATCAATCAGTGGGCAAAGAGCCCATCATGACCCATCAGTGTCCCTGCTTCCTCAGGTTGAAGTTCTATGACCACGTTTGTGGGGCTGACAGTTTCTGAAGTTAAGAATCTGACACATTTGTGCATCTGTCCTACTTCTTCCATCTGTCTTCTCCTCTGCCACCCAACCCTTCTACTCAGAGTTGGGATATCAGTAGCCTCTTCTGCCTAGGAAGGGACTAGTCCTGGACTTCCTTGTCATCACTGTCCCCACACCCACCCAATACACAACTCCAAAAGTAGCTCCTCAGGAAACGTCACTTCAGGCCTCAACCTCACACTGCAGAGCTTTTGGAGTGAGGCAGTTAAGGGACAGCTTTAAGTGGCTCTAAGTGCAAACAGAAGAAAGAAATCATCCCTGGCTTCAATGAGGTTCCAGTTTAATGGGGGAAGATGAGGTCCACGAACACATATGAAAGCAGGAAATCACCAAGAGAGCATCATTCCTTGTGTGATAATGGGTTTAAACACCTCGTGGCTGCACTAACACATTAACATAGTTAATCACCACCCCTGCTTCTTGACAGACTTTCTTCCCTTGGTTTCTGGAATGCCATGCTCTCCTGTTTTTCTTCCTACTTCCTTTTCCCCGTCTCTAAATGACTGGCATGCTCACTCCTGAGGTGATCAAATCCAGTCCTGTGGTTTTATACACCATCCAGAAGCTGGTGATCTCCACACACATTTCTTATCCCACCCTCTCCACTGACCTCCAGAATTTGACATCTCACTGTCTACTCCAGATCTCGACTGGCTTATCTAACAAGACATACAGGACCTCTCCATTTCCTCCAGCTAAATGTGCTCTTCTCACAGCATTTCCCATCCAGGCAAAAGGCTCCACTGTCCACCCAAGTGCTCAGGCCCAGAATTCATCCCTCACTCCTCTCCCTCCACTTCCAATCCATAAGCAGCTCTGACTGGTTCTAACTTTAATCTTATCACTCCCCTCCACCTCCACTGCCACCAGCCATCCAAGGCACCATTGTCATGCTTTTAGACCACTGTAGCAGTCTCCTATGTGCCTCCCTAATTCCACTCTCACTTCCCTACAGTTAGCTCCCTCACACAGTCAGATTGCGGTGCTCCCCACTTAACACCCTCCAATGGCTGCCCACTACACACAGAATAAAACCCAAACCCCTTACCATGGCCTACACGGCCCTGCATCACCCAGCTCTGGCTCACTGCCCCAAACTCATCTCCTATTAAGCTCTGCCCTCCCACTCTTACACTCACTGGCCTGCTTTGCTGTTCCTCCAACCACACCAAGTTCACTCCTGACTCAGGGCCTTTGCAATGGACAGTTTTCCTACCCTGAATAGTTTTCTTCCTCCAGATCTTCTCAAGACCCCCTCCTTTATTTTATTGTTTTCTGCTTACATATCACCTCCACAGGGGGGCCTTTCTTGACCACTTGACCATCCTATATAAAATACCCCTCTACCCAATCTCTTCATCCCCTTATGCTCCTTATTGTACTTTATTGTTTCTTTTTTTTTTTTTTGAGACGGAGTTTCACTCTTGTCCCCCAGGCTGGAGTGCAATGGCGCGATCTCAGCTCGCCGCAACCTCTGCCTCCTGGGTCCAAGTGATTCTCCTGCCTCAGCCTCCTGAGTAGCTGGGATTACAGGCCTACACCATCATGTCCAGCTAATTTTTGTATTTTGAGTAGAGACAGGGTTTCACTATGTTGGCCAGGCTGGTCTCGAACTCCTGACCTCAGGTGATCCATCCGCCTTGGTCTCCCAAAGTGCTGGGATTACAGGTGTGAGCCACAGCATCTGGCTCTTACTGTACTTTAAAATCACTGCTGGATGTTACTGTCTTCCTGTTCCACTAGAATGAAAATTACGTGAGAGCAGGGACTTTGCCTCACTCCTCATTCAAAGAGCACTTGTTAAATGAATGAAAGTCATGCCTGGTAGAATGTCATGTCATGTTAGCCACATTGATGGGAGTTACATTCTTTTCTGGGGAAGGGGACTGAATTTTTCATAGAAACAATAACGTAAGAGATGGTTACACTATTGATCAAGGTCCTAATGCCCACCTTTTAAAGAAACATGATCAAACCCCATATTTAACTACAAGTTATATATCAAGCAATATAGAGCTCTCTAAAATACATGTACTTTCATTAAAAAAAGAAAAATAATAATGAAGCATATGTAAATATAATTTGATATATATATCATAATTCATTGTTCAAAGTTATTATATCAAAAGCAGAATGATCATCTTCATTAAAAACACGGAATTCATAAGGCTGGGTTCGTTGGCTCAAGCCTGGAATCCCAGCACTTCAAGAGGCTGAGGTGGGAGGATTGCTTGAGCCCAGGAGTTTGAGGCCAGCCCTGACAACACAGCAAGATCCCATCTCTACAAAGAATTCAAAAGCTGGATATGGTGGTGTGTGCCTATAGTCCCAGCTACTTAGGAGGCTGAGGCAGGAGGATTGTTTAAACCTGAGAGGTCGAGGCTGCAGTGAGCTATAATTGTGCTGTTGCACTCCAACCTGGGCAACAGAGCAACACCCTGTCTCAAAAAAAAAAAAAAGAAAAAAAAAGTCATAGAATTCAGATAAGAGACTTTCCACTGACATCTCTGAAAATACCTATGGAGGAAACTACAGGTTACTTGCCCTTTTGAAACATCTATTAAGAAATGTTGGTAGGGAGAGTGTTAGAAAGTAGCAGGGCATGGAGATACACCTGTGGTGTCCAGGAGGGCAGCATGGAGCCACCCAACCTCTGCAGATCTATCTCCCCTGCCAAGATTGTCTGGAGTCAGGAGAGACTTCTTGTTGCAAGGAAAAGATAAGCAGAAGATCCCCACCGGTCCCCACTGGCATTGCAAACACCTACAGTCCTTACAACAGGAGAATCCCACAGTCCTTACAAGTCCTGGGCCCAGTTTGGAGAGCCACTGGAATTCACACAGCCACATTGCCCTGAATTCGGAGCACAAAGTATGCACTTCCCATCTCTCCCATCCCTTGTGAGCCAAGCTGCTGCAGCAAGGCACAATCTTGAGACCTCAGCCACCTCTGGATTGCATCCTGCTCTGGGGGCCAGTAAGTACTGCACCTTCCAGCACTGGAGCTCCATTTTCCTTACACCAAGCTTATGTGGGTGGCTGTAGCCACAACCCCAGTTGCATGGGCCCAAGATCAGCTGTGACTCTGGTCCTGTACAGCAGGGAAACCAACCCCTGCCATTGCACTTCCAGCCAGAGGAACAATCTGCCAGTTCTGCCTGGGGAAAACCCACCCTTGAGCCAGCCAAATGGTTGCATGCCCTCCTCTAAATAGGAGAGGCCCCTGAGCCTTCAAGCAGTTGATATGCCCCTGCACCAGCAAAGTGGCTATGCATCCACACTCAGGACCTGAGAAACAGCTCCATAATAGCATCCCCCCTTTGCAGGCATGTCCCTGGCCTGCCTAGTGGCCCTGTACCACCCCCACCCCCAAAAAAGGGCCTGAGAAACCCACAGGACATTCCTGGCAGGTATGCCCTTATGCCAGCTGAGCAGCTTTGCACCTGGGTCCCAAACCTAAGAAACAACGCTGTGGACCACCCTCAGCAGATATTCTCCCAGGCTGGCTGAGCAGCTGTCTGTCCACGTCCCAGCCTGAGATATAGCCCTGTGGGCCACCTCTGGCAGGCATGCCACCACACCAGTTGAGCAGTCTTGCACCTGCATCCTGGGCCTAATAAGCAGCTGCATGGGCTGCCCCTGGCAGACACATCACCAGGCTGGCTGAGCAGCTATAAGCCCATGTCCTGAGATGAAGAAAGAGCCCCATGGGCCATCCCCAGCAGACATGCCCCCCAGCCAAGCAGGCAACCATGCAGCTGTGTCACAAGCATAAGAAACAGACCTGTAGGTAGTCCCCAGCAAACACAACCTGAGTCCAGCCAAGTGGACTTCTGTCCGCATCCTGTCCTGAGTCTGAAAAGCAGCCCCACAGACCACTCCTGACAGGCACACTAGGTTGGCCAAACATCTGCATGCTCATGCTCCTGGCCAAAATAACAGCCCTGGGCTCCCAAACCCAGCAAGCTAGACCCAAATTTGGTCAATCCATCATTTACATTTATATCCTCCAACCTTAGAAAGAGCCCAGCAAGCCCAGCCTAGCAAAGCTGCACCACTGTCACCACAAACTCTTTCAGCCTAGGTCACTGAGAAATCACAAATGCCACTAGTGTGGATTACAGGTGAAGAAACTACACAGAGACTACACTAATGCATCCACCTAGAACCCAGGCAAATGCACCCCACTGAACCGACATCACAAGACACATTCATATAAGTCTTTCTCTACAAAGCCTACTTCATAAAATTGGAAGAGGCAACTTTTCCACCAGATGCATAGAAATCAATGTAGAAACACAACCATAAAAAAATCAGAAAATATGTTACCTCCCAAGAAAGATAGTAATTATCCAGTAACAGAATCCAATCATAAGGAAATATATGAAATGCCAGAAAAACAATTCGAAATAATAATCTTAAGGAAAATCAGTGAGATAATCTGATGAAATCAGGAAAATAATTGAAGATTTGAATGAGAAATTCAACAAAGAGATGGATATCATTTAAAAAGAACTAAAAGGAAATCAATTAATGCAATAAAAATTAGCAGAAAACTTCCTAAGTCTTAGGGGAGAGATGGACATTCAGGTCTAGAAAGCTCAAAGAACCCCAAATAGATTAAACCCAAACAGGTCCTCACTAAGGCACATTATAATCAAATTGTCAAAAGTCAAAGACAAAGAAAGAATTTTGAAAGCATCAAGAGAAAAGCACCAAGTTACATATAAGGGAATCTCTATTAGACTAACAGGAGATTTCTCAAAAGGAATCTTACAGGCCAGGAAAGAATAGAATTTAAACTATTGAAAGAAAGAAGGGAAAAACTCTGTCAGCCAAGAATACTATACCCAGCAAAGCTAACCTTCAGAAATGAAGAAGAAATAAAATATTTCACAGACAAGCAAAAAGTAAAGGAATTCATCACCACTAAACTGGCCTTACAAGAAATGCTCAAGGGATTCTTACATCTGGAAATGAAAAGATGAAAAACACCATATATATATATATATATATATATATATATATATATATATATATATATATATATAAAGACTCTACCAAAAAACTTAGAACTGATAAACAAATTTAGTAAAGTTACAGGATACAAAATTAATATACAAAAATGAGTAGCATTTCTACACACAAGCAACAAACTAGCTGAAAAGAAATCAAGAAAGCAAATCCGATTTACAATAGCTACTAAAAAAAAATAGGAATAAATTTAACCAAGGAGGTGAAAGACCTCTACAAGAAAAACTACAAAACACTGATGAAAGAGATTGAAGAGGATACAAACAAGTGGAAACGCATCCTATGCCCATGGATCAGAAGAATTAATATTGTTAAAATGACAATATTATCCAAAGAATACCAATGAAATTCTTCACATAAATAGAAAAAAAATCCTAAACTTTGTATGGAACAATGAAAGGCCCTAAATAGCCAAAGCAGTCCCGACCAAAAATGACAAAGCTGGGGGTATCACACTACTAGACCTCAAAATATACTACAAAGCTGTAGTAACCCAAACAGCATGGTATTAGCATAAAAACAGACACATAGACCAACGGAACAAATAGAGAACCCAGAAATTAATCCACATAGGTACAGCCAATTGATTTTCAGCAAAGGTACCAAGAACATCTTTGGGAAAAGGATACTCTCTTGAATAGATGGTGCTGGGAAAACTGGATATCCAAATGCAGAAGAATAAGACTAGACCCCCCACCGCTCATCCTATACAAAAATCAACTCAAAATGGATCAAAGACCTAAATGTAAGACCTGAAATGATAAAATTACTAGAAGAAAACATAAGGAAAATGCCTCAGAACATTGGTCTGGGAAAATATTTTATGAATAAGACCTCAAAAGCACAGGGAACAGAAGCAAAAATAAACAAATAGTATTATATCAAATGAAAATGTTTCTGCATAGCAAGGGAAGCAAATAAAACAAATAGTGAAAAAACCTACAGGATGGGAGAAAATATTTGCAAACTATTCACCTGACAGGGGATTAATATCCAGAATATACAAGGAACTCAATTCAACAGCAGAAAAACAATCTGATTAGAAAATGGGCAAATGATATGAACAGACATTTCTCAAAAGAAGAAATATAAATTGCCAACAAATATATGGAAAACTGCCCAACATCACTAATCATCAGGGAAATACAAATCAAAACCACAATGAGGTATCATCTTATCCCAGTTAGAATGGCTATTTTCAAAAAGACAAACAACAAATGCTGGCAAGGATGAGGAGAAAAGGAAACTCATATACTCTTGGTGGGAATATAAACTAGTATAGCAACTATGAAAACCAATATAGAGGTTCTTCCAAAACTAAAAATAAAACAGCCATATGATCCAGCAATTCTACTACTGGAAATTTATCCAAAGGAAAAAAGGAAATCATCGAAGAGACGTCTGTATCCCCATGTCTACTGCAGCACTATTTACAATAGCCAAGAAATGGGATCAATGTAGGTATCCAACAGAAGATGAATGGATAAATAAAATGTTGTATAGATACACAATGGAATACTATTCAGCCATAAAAAAGAATGAATCCTGCCATTTGCGGCAACACGGATAGAACTGGAGGACATTATATTAAGTGAGATAAGCCAGGAACAGAAAGTTAGACATGGTGTGTTCTCATTCATATGTGAAAGCTAAAAAATATTGATCTCAAAGAAGTAAAAAAGTAGAACAGAGCATACTAGAGGCTGGGAAGGGTAGGAAGAAGGGTGGGATAGGGACAGATTTCTAAAGGATACAAAATTACAGCTAGATAAGAAGAAGAAGTTCTACTGTTCTATACCATGGTAGGATGACTATAGTTAACAATAATATATTATATAGTTTCAAATAGGTAGAAGAGGATATTGAATGTTTCAAACATAAAGAAATGATAAATGTTTGCAATGATGGATATGCTAATTGCCCAGATCTGATCACCATATATTAATTATATCAAAACATCACCATGTACTCCATGAATATGCACAACTATTATTTGTAAATTTTTTAAAATTAAATTAAATTTAAAAAATGTTTACAACTTGCTAAGGAGTCCTGTATTACCTATGAGTGTCCCATTGGCTCAGACTTTAAGGGACTCACAAAGAAGGGCATGAGTTCTAGACTGCCTTTGCACTGACCAGATGTATCTCAAGAGCTTTGCTCACATGGCCCCAATGATGCAAAGAAAGGAATACTGGGTGAGTCCTATGGTGTCATGTGCCCCTAGGCTTTAAAACTGAAGTTTTATCTCATTTTTATTTACTTCTTTTCCTCACTGCAAATGTTCCCGTCACAGCATAAAGTAGGTGACTAAACAAAGAGGGCTTCTGGCATAGCCCACTCACCAGTACCAGAGGCACTACTTTCATCCTGACTTTTGGCCAGGCAGATGTGTCTTTAAAATAGAAGGGACTTGCATTATTTTGTGCATCCTTTGATCTTCTACCTACGGTGCTTCACAGTGTGAAAAGCCTTAAGGCTTTCCTTTAAAGAACGCCTTGCTCATATGTTCAGTGTTCGCTTTGGTCCAGCCTCCCACAAATCCTAAAATAAAGCCCCCATCTGAGCCACATATGCTGTGTTTTCTTTCAGGCAGTAGCAGGACACTGCTTTTCCCTTTATCAGCCATATTAGAGTCCAACCTTATAGTCACTTTTAAAAAAATTCCTTTAATGTTATGGGATTTATTTCCTTAACAAAACAGCAGGCCCTACATACTTCGATATGTCTTTCAAAGTAATCTAAGAAGCTATTCCCTCAAGTCAATGATGGGGTCATAGTTCAAAGCAGGTTTAGCACCATGGGGGAAATTATCAGTATTATTTTTTTGAAATCACAGACCACACTTCCTGTTATTAATTCATGCCTCCCCAGGTCCACCACCCACCAACCTTCTCACTTTCTTTGTTTCACTGGTATTGGTTTTGGCCCTGCCAGCCTCCTCTGCACTGAGAGTTAACTGACACCCTCACCCCAGGCTGATGTTAGCTGAGGACCCCTGAAGTACTGTAGTAGTTAGACCCTAAGGAGGGGGTCAAGGGTAGCAGCGGGAAACCACCTTCCTCACTGCTAAAGCTGCAGAAAGCAATGGAAACACCCTAAGCCCCAAATTACACATATGAAATCCCAAACGATCACCCACATTTTGGAATATTATTTAGAATATTTACTATTGTACAGCTGCCCAAAGAAGGCACTGTCTTTGTTAAACAGGCTCACTCTACACCTATTATCACACAGGATTTCTCACCAAACAGAGTGCAGGTGACCAGGTTATGGATAGTGTTCTGGCAGCTGCTCAGTCCCACAGAACTAGCTATGGTTATGGGTCCAGGTAACACAAAGTTCCACCTGTGTTCCATCCCCAACAATGCCTGCTTGCCAAGGAACCATGGAGTCAAAGGAGAAATCAAAACCAGAGTTAGTCAGAGCAGCATCCTGGAGCAGCAGGAGGAGAAAGTTTTCAGCCAGCTTGGAAGGATGGAGTACCACAGCGTGCAGTGTGAACAGTTTCTAGCAGCAGCCAGGGCAACCCGCAGGCCCTTAATCTTGTTTCCTGGCTAGTTCCAATGATGATTTCCACCACCTTCGCCAGTTCAAGAATTCTGACCAGCTAAGCCAAAATCAACAGACAATGCTACAGCATACTGCCTTCACTCTTACCTGCTTGGGCAGCTGGCCAGGTGCCATCTCACCTTGGGGGCAGCAGTCTCTTCTGGGCACCTAGAAAGACACACAGCTCCCCTCTCTGCAGCCTCCCCAGGGTGGACTGAGGAGGAATGGTCAACAGCATAATGTAAACTCTGTTCACTCACCACCGTCTTCTCTGTTGTTTGTTGTGGCAACTGGGCCAGTGGGACAGGAAAGGCGTCCTGAAGCTCTCGGCTGGGAAGCTCCTGAAGTTGCTCTGAACTGCAGCAGAGGCAGCCGGGAGCCACCTGGGTGGGTGGGAAGGAGGAAAGGAAAGCCAAATCAGAGACAGACACGCAAAAGGGATGTGGGAGCGGCTGGGAGGAGTACATCACTCTGGGACAGGCTATGTAGAAATAGGGAAGCATCCCAACAGTGACGATGGGTGGCTTTTATTACCGTGTGGGGGGGTTATACGTTTAGAGTTCAGGAACAATAGTTACAAGGAGAACCAGAACGAGGTACTTTCTTCCCCCACAGAGGACAGACGCAGAACCATGACGGTGGTACTCAGGGTAGATTGCAGGGTCTAGGGAGAGGCCCTGGCAGGGGTGAGGGAGGAAGGCCATGGGAGCTGCCTTCCTGCAGGTGAAAGGCAGTGCAGGTAGGTGGCTGTTGGGGCATTCTGGAGGGAGCTGGCTCCTGGCTATCAGGGATCTGGCTTCGGTGACATGGCCAGGGGAATAAAGGGCTGACAGGGCAGGAAAAGAAACACCAACACACTGGGAAAGCACTGTGCTTCTAGAGGAGTGTCTCTCCTACCTTCACTGTCCCAGGGCTGGGCTGATATGCTCTGTTCCCCCAGCACCACACCAAGGTGGAACACGGGACCCCCGACTCAGCCTGGCCCAGGCTCCTGAAGTTCCCCCTTCTCCTCCCTTCAGACACTTTTGTTTTCCTCTGAGGGAAAATCTCACTTCTTAAGAGGGAAATAAATACCTACAGTAAGTAGCAATTCCATTTCCTCAGAGGGACAAATAACTTATTTCAGAGCCCTCCATAAGCTACCCATCCAGATGGTGTGTTAATTTGAAAAGGATAGTTTGAAAATCCAAAGGAAATCAAGCCCTCACAATGGCATTTGCTGTTTTTGAATGTTTTCTGTTCCCTCCCAAAATTTATGTTGAATCTTAATCCCTGATGCAACAGTGTTAAGAGGTAGGACCTTTAGGAGGTGATTAAGTCAAGAGGGCAGAGCCCTGGAGAATAGGATCAGCAACCTTATAAAGGGGCTGGAGCGAACTGGTGAGGCCCTTTTTTGCTCTTCTGTCTTCTGCCAAGTGAGGACAAAGCAACTTGGCACCATCTTGGAAGCAGAAAACAGCTCTCACAAGACACCAAATCTGCTGGTGTCTTGATCTTGGACTTCCATTTTCCAGAACTGTGAGGAAAAAAAATTCTACTATTTGTAAATCACCCAGCCTCAGGTATTTTGTCATAGCAGCACAGATAGACTAAGACAGCATTTCAGCAGGGGACTTCCACACTGAAAACGTCCTTACACAATCCCTTAATAAATCACAAAGGAGAGAGAGAGGGTGGAAACCCTGAGTTTAGGGTTGTGGCTTCCCCTGACACTTTGAGGGACACTTTGAAAAGGAAACGGGAGAGACGGGGCTCTCAAAGAAGGGGCAGGATGAGGTGGAATTCCCACCCCATTACAGTCCCACAGCCAGGTGCTCTTTTCCACCTGGACAGGAAGTGTCAGCAGAAAGTTCATTTCAGGAATGCCAGCCTTGTCTGCACCCAGTTGCTCCCTGTAATCTGTTTGGCCACAGGACCAAATGAGAGCTCAAGCAGAACAGGTGTTTCTATAAGGAATGGTTTCCACATGTCTCATAAGCTAATCCAGGCAATCCCAGCAGGACATCTCTTGACCTTGAAGAGAAAGGTCAAGCTCAGGACATCTGCTGCCACCCCCCTCAATGTATATCCATCTCTGGTGAAGGTTTAGGGATACCTATTGCTTCTTAGTTCCTTAACCTTGACCCCACCTCCAGTGAGCACACCTGGCCCTTCATTCTCAGCAGCCCCCTTCTGCTTTCTACCAGCCAGAGGAGCCTCCAAACCTGCTGCTCTCCCTATCCTCAGTTCCCTACCCTGCCCCATGCACACGGGAGGCCCCTGGGTGCTCTGTCATTTCCATTCTTTTGCCCAGCTGATTAGGCCACATCTGGCTATTATTTCACAACTCACATGCACCACAGACATTTAATACTCTCCTGCTTCTCAAATAATTAGAAGCCACTCACAAGAAAACAAAAAATAAAGCTGTTAATTATGTAAAAATTAAAACTATATAAAAGCTGATAATATGGGTGAAATGATTTTCTAAGCTAATTTTTCAACCCTATCAGGCATTACATCTATCCCCGAGTTCCCTGACACTCATGGCAAAAAAGGAAACAGGAGAGGTCACACAATTCTCCTTGTCAAATGAGGACACGAAGCCACTTCATCAGGTAACAGGGCCCTCCAGTGCTAATCTCCAAAAGGTCTCTCTCCAGAGAGAGGACTGAACAACACTGGAAAATTGTCCACTGAACAATGGACAATTCTACCAATAGGGTTTTCAAAAGGAAACATTTGGCATTTCATTACTGTTTTTTGTTTGTTTGTTTGTTTGTTTTTTGTTTCTTGGAGACAGATCTTGCTCTGTCGCCCAGGCTGGGGTGTGCAGTGGTGCAATCTCAGCTCACTGCAACCTCTGCCTCCCATGTTCAAGTGATTCTTGTGCCTCAGTCTCCCAAGTAGTTGGGACTACAGGTGCACGCCACCATGTCCTGCTAATTTTTGTATTTTTAGTAGAGATGGGGTTTCACCATGTTGGCTAGGCTGGTCTTGAACTCCTGACCTCAAGCAATCCACATGCCTCGGCCTCCCAAAGTGCTGGGATTACAGGCGTGAGCTACTGCGCCCAGCCTCAGAGTTTGGTAACTTTTTAATATCAACATTTGATAAAAAGGAAAATAATAAAATATGTCTTGGGATTTTTGCAGGGATCTAAAGCAAAGGTCTGGACAGGTAATTTAATAAAGGTCTTGGTGGTTCTCAGTGGAAAGTTGAGTTGCCCTCATCACCCATCCTGGAGGTGGGGGTGCAGGTGGGTAAAGGTGGTGCAGGCAGGTTGCACGGGGTTAAGGGTTAGGGGGATTGAGGGAGCATTGGGATGCGCAGTGGGATTATTGACTGTCACAACGACTTGAGAACAAGGGAAAGGAGCTGAATGTCCTACATTAAATAGAATGCTCATTATAAAGAGCATTATAAAGCATTTTGTCTTGCCTAAAATGCTAATAGCACCACTGGAGAGAAACACTGGAAGGGAAATGAGTAATTAGCATGACTCTTCTAGTGCCTGCTCTAAAATACCAATTAAGTCTTTACAGGGAGTTGATGGCAGTGACCACAAGAATGTCTGCTCCGGGAAGTAGAGATGAAGGAGGATGCCAGGTTTCTGATGTGTCAGCTCTGCTGGTGGTAAAATGCATATTGTCTTATGAGGCATAACGAGCCTGAAGGGTATTGTTGGCTGGACAGAGAGCTGGGCAATGGTGCACTATAAGCATGCCCATGGAAAGGAACATAGCTCTCCTTTTATTTCTTTATATGTCTAAATGAAGACACAACTGGAACACAAAAACTACACATCAATCCATCATAGGAGAAACTATTTTAGGATAGAGCAGTGTTTCTCAAAGTGTGGTCCCTAATTAGCATCACCTGGGAACTTGTTAGAAATGCAGATTATTGGGTCCTACCCCAGACCTGCTGAATCAGAAACTCTGGGTGTGGGGCTGAGAAACCTGCGTATTGACAAGTCCTCCAGGTGACTCTGATGCAGGCTCAAGGTTGAGAACCACTGGTCTAGAAAGCCTGAGGTTCAATATGGCAATCAGTCACAAGAGAGATTTTAGAAATCCTGCTTCATCCCTGTGTAGAGTTTCTATTAGGCTCAGAGACGGAGGGGAATATTTGAATATGTCTGTGGCAGGCAACTGATCAGGGGTGGAAGACCTGAAGACAGAAGACCCCAGGGATGAGAAATAAGGACAAAGAGTAAATTATCAAGGGCCAATCTGAGCCTCAAGTTTAATTAACCATCCTAGGAAGATTTTGTTTTAATTTAACTTGTATTCCTGTTTGAATAGCAAATACAGTTATATGGTTTGAAATTGTTTGGGGGCTCAGAAAACAATACCCCAAAATGAAGACTTCAGAAGCAGCCTCAGAAGCAAAAGTTTCTCTCTGACCTTCTTCTTCCCTCCTGTCTCTGGCCACTCATTCTCCTCCAAGGACACCAGAATCCCTCTTCCCCAAGGCAGGTTATAGAAACCAGAATCCCTTTTCCTTAAAGCCAGCCAGGAAACCTAAAAATATTATTCTAACTTCTCCCCCTGGCCTTTCTGTGTAAAAACTGGCCATAAAGAAATTATCTGACCTACCTTGTTTGACTGTAGGTCATAAGAGCCCCATTCCAGAGAGAGTCTTGCCCCATCAGAAGGAAGAAATGCTGCACAGAGAGGAGGAATACAAACAGAAAGGCCTTGCTGAGTTTCCCTACTCAGTCTATTAGCATTAGATTATACCCTTTTTGCCCAATCATATTTTTACACAGTTGTCCACAGTTTATTGAACCTAAGCATAAAAATGAACGTTTCCTTTGTATCTTTGGGTCTTCATTCGAAGGCTCCCATGTCATGGAAAACTATGATCAAATAAATTTATGTGCCTCTTCTACTATTAATCCACCTTTTGTCATTTGATGTTTAGTGAACCTTCAGAGGGCAAAGGAGAAGTTTTCCCTTGCCCCTTCAACTGAAAAGATACAAAAGTATATAGTGAAATGTCTTTCACCCACACCTGCTTCTAGGTACCCAGCTCCTAGGTATCCAGCACCAACTTCTCTTCCAGAATCAGCCATGTAATCACATCTTCTAGAGATATGTTTTGAAAATACATGTATATTTTTATACCCACTTTTTCTTAAATACAAATAATAACATATTATACACACTCTTCTACACCTTGCTTTATTTTGCTTAATATATTTTGGGGGTTATGCCATACCAGAAACATCAAGAAACACTTAGAAGTGTTCTGAGTGTCTGGAAACATACAACACTCCAGGGCATGGGTATCTTTCCTGCAGCTAAGGAGCACCTGGTAGGCTACCACATGATGTTTGTGGATTTCTTAGTGAACCTCCTGTAGGAAAGCTGTACTAAAATTCTCAGTTTGGAGAACTCTCCACAGGCCTACTTGTATTTTGTTTTATAACAGAAGGAGGTAATATGGAAACTCTCAGCCAGGTCATTAAAATTCAACAGTATCACTACCAGATAACACTAGTACCTGGTGGGTCAGGCGTCCAAGGACACATAGTAGAGAGGAGTTTGACCACTAGGTAGAACTCAAAGCATCAGGATGACTTGGAACTTTTAAAATTTATAAGACTAATAACTATAAATTACAAAACACATGGAAACATAAAGACATGGACTAATTAAGAACACTTCCTACTTAATAGAGTCATTTTCCAACACTTAGAATCAAGTATGTAACACGGGACAAAATAATAATTCCTATCCTTCCACCAGCTTCAGTTATAGTAACATTTCTTTTTATTTTTTTGAGACGGAGTTTCGCTCTTGTTGCCCAGGCTGGAGTGCAATGGTGCAGCTCACTGCAACCTCCACCTCCTGGGTTCAAGCAATTCTCCTGCCTCAGCCTCCTGAGTAGCTGGGTTACAGGCATGCACCACCATGCCTGGCTAATTTTGCACTTTTAGTAGACACAGGGTTTTACCATGTTGGTCAGGCTGGTCTCAAACTCCTGACCTCAGGTGATCCACCCCCTTGGCCTCCCAAAGTGCTGGGATTACAGGTATGAGCCACTGTGCCCAGCCTGTAACATTTCCTTCAGAATTATTTTTGTTCTATACACCCTTCAGCACCATCAGTAAGATGTCTTGCTCCTTCCTGATTCTAACCAGAGTTTTATCAATGTAGCCTTTGAACATAAAAGATGAAGTTGTATATATTATATATACATATTATATATAATTATATATTATATATATTACATATAATATATAATTATATAATACATATTTTATATATATATGCTCTATTGAGATATAATTCATATACCATACAATTTAAAGTCTTCAAATCAATGCTTTTTAAGTATAGTCAAAGAGTTGTGCACTGATCACCTCAATGAATTTAGTGCACTTGCATCACCTGTAAAAGAAATGCCATACCTATTCACAGTCACTCCCCATATCCTACCCTAAGGTTTCCCAACCCTAGGCAACCAATAGTCTACTTTCTGTTTCTATGGATTAAGGATGGCTTCAACAGGCTCACAAGCACACTCAACACAACTGGGGAAACAAAATCAGTGATTTTGAAGATGAGTCAACAGAAATTATCCAAACTAAAACACAAAGAAATAAAAGAGTAGGGGGAAAAAAAGAAAACAAAGAATCTAAAAGCTATGGAATAATATCAAATGGTCTAATATGCATATAATTGGAATCTCAGAAAGAGAAGAAATAGAGGATGAGTCAGAAGAAATACTTACATAATAATTAAGCATTTTCCAAAAATAATGAAGGACATCAAACCACAAATCCAAAAATCTCAGAGTACTTCAAGCAGTATAAATACAAACAAAAACAACCAAACACACCTAGGCATATAATCTTCAAGTGGCTGAAAATCAAAGGGAAAGAAACAATCTTAAAGGCAGACAGGGTGAGGGAATACATGAAAGCATACTTCTCATCTGAAAAAGTGCAAACCCAGAAAACAACAAAGGAAATCTTAAAGGTACTGAAAGAAAGAACCCTGTCAATCTGGAATTCCATACTCCTGAAAATATTTCTCAAAAATAAAAGAAAAATACAGACTTTGGAAACTAAATGAAAAGCTGAGAGAATTAATTATTAACAAACTTGCATAATGAGAACTAGAAAGAAACTTCTTCAGGCAGAAGGGATATGTCAGACAGAATTTGAATCCAAACAAATAAACTAAGATCTCCAGAAATGGTTAAAATGAAGGTAAATATATAAGACATTTTTTAAAATGTTTAATTGCTCTAAAAGATGATTGACTTTTTAAAGTAAAAATAGTAGTAATGTACTATGGGTTTATAGGGTATGTAAAAGAAAAATGCATAACAACAACAGCACAAGAGTTGAGAAGAAAGAACTTGGAGTATAATATTCTAAGGTTTTTATACCATACGTGAAGTGATATAATTGGAAGGTAGACTGTGATGAAAGATATATGTTGTAAACACTAGAGCACACACTACATTTTTAAAAAGAAGTATAATGATAAGCCAATAGTGGAGATAAAATGAAATAATAAAAATTCTCAGCTGGATGTGGTGGCTCATGTCTGTAATCCCAGCACTTTGGGAGGCTGAGGCAGGCAGATCAACTGAGGTCAGGAGTTTGAGACCAGCCTGGCCAACATGGTGAAACCCCATCTCTACTAAAAATACAAAAATTAGTCAGGCATGGCGGCACGTGCCTGTAGTCCCAGCTACTTGGGAGGCTGAGGCAGGAGAATTGCCTGAACTTGGGAGGTGGAGGTGGCAGTGAGCAAGACTGTGCCACTGCACTCCAGCCTGGGCAACAGAGCGAGACTCCACCTTAAACAAAACAAAACAAACAAACAAATCTCAATAAATACAAAGGCAAGCAGAAAAAGAGGATAAAAGGGACAAGAAAAAGATGAAACAAAAAATATTTATGGTAGTTTTAATCCAATCATATCAATAATTGCATTAATTATAAATGGCCTAACTACATGAATTAAAGATTGTTAGACTGTATAAAAAAGTAAGACCCAGTTATATGCTATCCACAAAAAAAGCTCACCTTGAATATAAAGACAGAAATGGGTTAAAAATAAAACAATGGGAAAAGATATAAATGTAAGCACTAATCAAAAGAAAACTGAAATGGCTATATTAATATCAAACAAAGCAGATTTCAGGAAAAGGAATATTACCAGGGATAAAGAGAGTAATTTCATAATGATAAAAGGATCAATTCACTAAGGAAATGTAACACTCCTAAATGTGTACACATCTAACACAGGGTTCCAAAATACATTATCCAAAAAGTCTTAGGCCTGAAAGGAGAACTAGGAAAATCCGCAATTGTAGTTAGAGATTTCAACACTCCTCTCTCAGTAATTGATAAAACAAGTACACAGAAAATAAGTAAGAATTTAGAAAGGTGAACACCACTATCAACCAACTTGACTGAATTGACACTTGACCCAACAAATGCAAAATATACATTGTTTTCAAATGCATATGAAAGATTTATCAAGATAGACCATATTCTGGGCTACTAAACAAACCTGAATCAAATTAAAAGAAGTGAGACCACATAGAAATATTCTCTGATCGTTATGAAATTAAACTAAAACTTAGTAACAGGAAGGTATCTAACAAATTCCTAAAATGCTTGCAGATTAAACAACACATTTCCAAATAACTCACAGTTCAAAAAATAAGTCACAATGAATATTAGAAAATATTTCAAATGGAATGGACATAAAAAGGCACAATATGTCAAATTTGGGGGGATGCAGGAAAAGGTCAGAAGAAAATGTGTAGCATTAAGTGCTTATATTAGTAAAGAAGGAAAGTATTAACTCAGTGATCTAAGCTTCCACTTTAGGATAAACTAGAAAAAGAACAAATTAAAACCAAATTTCTCAGAAAGAAGGAAATAATAAAGATAAAAGCAGAAATCAGTAACAATGAAAAGAAAATCAATGAAGCCAAAAGTTTGGTTTTTGGAAAGATCAATAAAATTGGTAAGCCTGTAGGCAGGCTGATCAGGAAAAAAAGAAAGATGGTACAAAAATAAATCTCAGGAATAAAATAGAGAACATCACTACAAATCCTACAGACATTATATATATATATATATATATATGAATCCATATATATAGAACAAGTCTCTCTCTCTATATATATATAAACAAATCTATGTCATAATATAAAAACTTGACAACTTAGATAAAATACAAAAATTCACTGAAAGACACAAACTACCAAAATTCCCACAAGAAGAAATAGAGAACCTCAATTAAAGAAATTTTATGAGAGCAACATTACTTGATATGAAAATAAGATAAAGACATTATAAAAAAAACCATGGAACAATATTCTTCATAAATATAAACACAAAAATCCTCAACAAAATAATGGCAAATCAAATTCAGCAATATATTTTGAAAAAAATATATTATTATTCTGTGTGGTTTATCCTGAAAATGTAAGGCTGGTTCAACAACTGAAAATCAGTGTAATTTACAGTATCAACTTAGTGACAAAGAAAAAAACTACATAATCATTTTATTTAGATATTTAAAAATCAGACAAAATTCCGTTTTCATTCATGGTTCTGGGCAACTGCTTTAGTCTGAATGCAAAAAACTGGAATTCCTTGTTTTAAAAAGGCAAAAGTTTCTTGGGGATCCAGAAGTCCTCTTATGAGACAGGTCTCAGGTAATGTTAGAAGATGGAGTACGAAGAAACAGATACATGGTGGAGACTTCAAACATATAATGAAATTATATTCATGATATGCTGTTCCAGAAAGAGCTTGTTACATATAGGCAGATTTCTATTGAATAAAAGAGGAGCTTCTTACTACCGGACCTCTGGACAAAGGCAGCAGCTTCATATTTCAGGTGGTAGATTCTTAAAACCACAAGTGTTCAAAAGGTCCTGGACAACTATCTGTGAAGGATGCTATGAAAGGTCTCCTATCTTAGATGGGAGTATAGACTTGATGAATTAAAAGTTCTTCCTAGTGCTATAAAATAGTAGAGACAGAAAATCCAGTTGGCCTAACTAATGTTTATTAAGAGCTTGGTAAGGAAATATGAGATTAATCTATATTTTAAAAGTCATATTGCCTATCTTTACATAGTTTACACTAATAATTTAGTAGAGATGTATATTTCTATGGAATACCTTGTAAAAATATTTTTCTGTATATCCCTTTCTCCCTGCTTCTCACTCTAAAGAAGCTGATAAGTGATAGCTTAGTCCTTGCCTCATTAATACCTTCAACCACTCATTTTCTGTCAGTTCCTTTTTTTCCGTCTTCAGACATCCTCTCTTAAAAATACCAACAATGAGACCTACTCCCTTTTCTAGCTACCATCATATTTCTAGCCTTTCTTTCCACTCATATGTTTTCAATGAGTCATCAACATCTCCTGCCACAATTTCCTTTCCACCCACTCCCTCTTTAACCCCCTACAATCAATCCAGTTCTTTTATACACCACCTACAAGGTCAGAATGCTAGGGTTTAGAGAGTCTGAGAGTGTCAGGAAGATATAACATTTGTACCCAAGGAGCTAATCAGAAAAAATCTACTTAAATCATCCAAATATCCACTAGGAAGAGACTAGAGACAGGGGTTAAAAAAGAGAACTAACATTTATTAGGTATCTTCTGGTATACTGTTGTGGTAGATTATCTCCCATCATGGCCATCAGCAATTCATCCATCCAGGTATACTCATGTCTCTCCAACTCTAACTTTATCAGAAATCACAATAAATATAAATGGACCAAATTCACCCATTAAAAGACAGATAAAATATTATTATACAATATTATATACAATATCTATCTATATCTGTAGCTATATATTCCACCTATATACTATTCATAAGATGAACCTAGAAAACACAAAGGCATTGAAAATAATAAATGAAAAAATAAGTTAGGCAAAAACTAACCATAAAAGAGTTGGAATAAGTAAATTAATATCAGACAAAAGACTTTAATATAATTAATCAGAAAGAGAATCACTATATAATAATAACAGAAGTGAGATAAAGAGGTAGAGAATACCCCTGGCATCATCAGTTTTAGAAATGGGGGTCTAGTAACTATCTCCAATATCACAGCTCAGAATCAGGCCAATTCTGCTCAATTTAATCCAATCTCACAATTATTTGTGTGAAAACTCCCAAATTTGTCACCATGGGCAAAAAAGCTTAATCTAATAGACATATATAGAACCCTATGCCTGATAATTACAAAATATGCATTACTCTTTTCAAACACATAGAAAATATTTTCAAAAATTAAACTGCAAAAGGCTATAATGCAAGTCTCAACAAATTCCAAAGAATCATATAGTCAATAACAAAAAACAAGATCAACTTGTCTGTTCATTTCCTCTGCCAATATCTTATCTCTCTGAAACTGCCTTATTCATTTGTACTTCTCTTTTGACATTGTTCATAGACATTGTGTCCATTTATGCAACACATTTGTATTAAATACTTACATACCAGTCAGTGTTCTAAGCATAGGGGATACATTAATGAACAAAGCAAAATAGACAAAGATCTCTCCTTTGAGGTGCTTACATTTCTAGCGTCACTTCTATCACTAGACTGCAAGTGCCCTAAGGCAAGACTATGTCTAATCCAGATTTGGCTAGCTCCCAATGTGCTGCTGGGACGGACACCATGTCGGATCTGACAAGGTACAGAACCCACACACTCTGATATTTAAGACAGAGGGCTTGCTGAGGCTTAAGGTATGATCTTCGGATAGTGTGGAATACAGCTTATCAGGCAGGGACCTAGAACCAGAAGGAGTAACAGACTCAACACACCCCTCACAACTCCCGTATCAGTAATTCAATAGCTCAAGTCTCAGCAGTCCATGGGTCAAAGCAAACTGAAGTCTAAACCATGTTGTCAAAGCAAAGATGCCGAAGACCAGATGTCAAAAATACTGGAAACAATGAAATCAGACAGATTAGGAGAAATAATCATATATTTTAATATGTCCTTGCAAATTGGGGCACAGTTTAAAGAGGCCAGATAAGCCAAGTGACTAGTGACCACATCTCACAGGTCTGTCTGGTTGTAAGGGCCCTTTCATCCTTCCTCTATGAGATAAGAATGAACATCCAGGTCTAAGAGCATCCAAGCTAGGGAGCAGGACAAGGAGACTATATATGTAGCTTGCTTCAAACAGATTCATGTTCTAATAGGAATAAAGGTAAGGTGGCTGGCTTTACAGAAAACTCTGCTACATTCCAGAATGGCAAGTTAACAGGCAGCATAACCAAGAAAAGGGCCTGAAAAAGAGAGATGCCTCCAACTTCTGACACAGGTTTAAAAGAAGACTGGTTCCTTCTGCAGAGACACATCCCTTTCCAAAGGCCGTATCAGTCCAGAGAGAAAGACCAAAACAAAAGCCCCACAGCAAGAAACAGGAAGGAAGGGGAACTATTCAAATTCCCTGCCCCTCTCCTCCATAGCACACAATAGCTGGGACCTCTACTGGGGCATCATAGCTCCAAAGGAATCCTTCTGACATGGTGTTTTCTGTTTTTTAAGCCTCTGTTTGAGCACTGTCACTATGGCAACAAGGCTGGGATGCTTCTGCTCTAAGTGAGAGGGCTTATCCCTTCAAATATGCTTCTTGAGTCAGCAACAAAGGAACTCACTGAACCTCAACTAATCTCATATTCTCCTTGGAGACCTCTCTTAAAAGGCATTTTCCCTCCTTGCTCCCACAAATCTTCTAGGTTTATGCTCTGTGTTCAGCCAACAACCACATTCACATAATGATTGAGTTTACTCTCACACACCTATCTCGACCAAGCTCTGAGGTGTCCTCTTTAGTCACATAAGCCTCTCCCATACCTATTAAACAGAGACAAAGCAAGGACCTTGGTTTGGGGGAGGCCTCCCAGGAAGGCTAGTGGACATGGGCCCCCAAGCTAGGATGGAACAGAGGAATGAGGGGTAGGAGGAGCAGGAAGCCAACTTGTATAACTTTCTTTTCCAGAGGGAGGAATCCATGGTGGCATGTAGCCCTGGCAGGCCTGATCCTCACCACCTGGATCTGTCCTCAACCTGTCCTAGGCTAGCTGCTCTGTCTTGGCTCAGGTTCCACATCATTCCCAGCCACAGCTCTTTCAAGAGTAAAAGTTGGCTCTGGGGAATACATCCTCCCTGCCTTCAGAGGGGTCTTCCTTAGTCATGAGTTCTTAGAATCCTAAAATATAGGCCTACCTCTTATTAGTTTTATTACCTTAGGGAAGTCACTTAACCTTTCTAAGCCTGTTAACTCATCTTAAGACAGGAGCAATTGACCACTCCATCGGGTTGTGATAAAGACGGAGGGGCAGGCATACATTCTACAACTCTTAGTTCTGTCTGCACCCAGCCCACTCTTCCCTCAGAAGCAGACAGTGTCTAATCTTAGGAAGGTCTGTAAGCACAGAGAAAAAAAGATGCACCAACCTCACCTTGATAACTCCAGCTCCAGTGTGTGTCACCATTTCTGGGTAATATATAACTCTTCTCCTCAGTTGTTTTTTTTTTTTTTTTTTTTTTTTTAAAGACAGGATCTTGCTATGTTGCCCAAGCTAGCATGCAGTGGCTATTCACAGGTACAATCATAGTGCACTGTAGCCTTGAACTCCTGGCCTCAAGCAATCCTCCTGCCTCAGCCACCTCAGTAGCTGGCACTGCAGGCATGAGCCACAGTGCCTGACCTCTCCACTAGTTTTCAAAGCAAACAAACAAATAAGAGAGGGTATTCAGTCTCTTTTGCCTTTATTGTAAGAGACAATGAGGTGACAGCAAAGATAATTCTAGGAAGCAAACTTCTGGGTTCTAGTCCTTTTTGCTCACTGAGTTCCTCAGCCTATCCTCCAGAGGACTGACCTCCCTGTGGAAAGGGGCTGCACAGGGCACTCTGTTAGGGTCCATTCCAACTCTAAGATCTCTGGGTCTTAGGTGAGTACCAAATGACCCATGAAATTGGAATAAAGAAGACTTTGCAGAGAGACTGGTACCCTCTAGGAGTGTCCTAAAACAGGGCAGATGAGACATGCAGGACACAAAGACTAGAAGCATCATTTATACCCAGGAAATATTTACCGCAAGGACATGTCAGGAGTCCATCCACCTCAGGGACAGAGTTCAAAGTTGACAATGCTGGGGAAATAGACATGAGCACCTTTTGGGTTTTCGTTTTGTTTTGTTTTGTTTTTTTGAGACAAGGTCTCACTCTGTTGCTCAGGTTGGAGTGCAGTGGTGCAGTCACAGCTCACTGCAGCCTCAAACTCCTGGGCTCAAGCAATCCATCTGCCGTAGCCTCCCAAGTAGCCAGGACTACAAGTACACACCACCATGCCCAGCTATATTTTTTTATTTTTTAGAGACAGGGTCTTGCTCTGTAGCGCAGGCTGGAGTACAATGGCAATCATAGCTAACTGCAGGCTCAGATTCCTGGACTCAAGCAATCCACCCATCTCAGCCTCCCAAATAGCTAGGACTACAGCTACACACTTCTATGCCCAGCTAATTCAAGCCATTAAAAAATTCCACCACCTCCCCACTGTTTAAAATAAATGTTTTATTTGGGAATAACATTATATTCTTAGAAAAATTTCAGACATGATACAGAGTCCCTGGTACTCTTCACTCTGTTTCCCCTAATGTTAATCTATTACATCACCATGGTACATTTTTCAAAACTAAGAAACCAGACTTTATTTGGATTTCACCAGTTTTTTAACTGATGTTATTTTTATGTTCCAGGATCTAATCCAAGATACCTCATTGCATTTAGGATAAAGCACTTTTTAATGGTGAAAGATTTCTATCATAGCGACAAAACGGATTCTTGATTAAAAGAACATCAGATACATTTGTGTCTCTTTGGGAACCCTTTCTTCCCATTTCCATGTCTGTTCCTCCCGTAAGAACCATTATAAACTCATTGTTTTATCATTCCCAGACATGTTTGTGTGAATGCACAGAAAGACAGTATAAGCACAAACACTGTATATATAGTGTTGTTTTCCAGGCTTTAAAACGCATATAAACACTATTCTTTTCATATCCTCCTGTAACTTGCTTCTTTCATTCAATGTTGTTTTTGAGATTGATCTCTTAAGAAATATAACTATAGTTCTTTTACTGCTATATATAGTATGCATAATATTTCATTCATTTTCCTACTGGTGGAAATTTGGACTGTTTCCCATTTTTTGCTGCAATGAACACTTTAATATTAAACGTCTACTCAGGTACACAAGAAAGATTCTCCATCTAGGACCGAAATTCCTGGGTGTAAAGGGTATAACCAAATTGTTTCCTAAAGCTGTAGTACCGTCCTTCCAGCAGCGTAGGAGACTGTCATTCCATATGCTCATCCATACTAAGAAGTACATTTAACTTATGAATTAATTTGTGGAGAACTGGCACCTTTATAATGAATCTTCCAGTTTATCAATATAGCCCTTTTCTCCATTTATTAAGGATCTCTTTTTTTTTTCCTTTCAACAACTGTAATTTTCTTCATAAATATTCTTGTGTACTTTTTGGTTAGGTGTACTCCTGGGTATATTATGGCTTTTGTTACTGCTGAAAATGGGATCCTTTATCTATTAATTTTTCTAATTGGTTATTCCTGGTAAATAGTACTTTAATATGTTGATACTGTATTTATGGAACTTGGAATTCTTACAGTATACAGTTGGTTCTCTATATCCATGGGTTCTGCACCCACGGCTTCAACCAACTGCAAATCCAAAATATATTTTTTAAAAATCTAATAAAAATAACAACACAACAATAAAAATAATACAAATAAAAAATACAGTATAACAACTATTTACATAGCCTTTACATAGTATTGGGTATTACATATAATCTAAAGATGATTTACAGTATACAGCAGGATACATGTAGACTATATGCAAATACTATACCATTTTATATAAGGGACTTGAGCATCCACAGATTTTGACACCCAAGGGAGGTCCTGGAACCAATCTCCCATGGATAGTGAGGGATGACTGTATCTTCCACTTAAAAATCCCAAGAAAATCTTATTGGTATGCAAGTAAGAACATTTTAATCTTTATCTTCAATATTCACATTTTTCTTGTCCTATTGCATTGGCTAGAACCTCCTGTACAATGCTGAATATAGCAATAAAGGGCATTCTTGTCTTTTTTATGACTTTATTGAAAGCGAGCCTGATGTTACTGTGTATTGTTAAGGATTGTTTTTTGCTGTACTATTTTGATAGATGTTCTTTACCAAGTTAAGGAAGTTCTCTTCTATTCTTAGTTTTCTGAGAAGTTTGCCTCAATTGTGAATGAGTGCTAAATTCTGACTAATGTTTTTTCTGTATGTAATAGATTATAGGCATTATTAATCTGTTAATATTCTTTATGACATTAATATATTTTCTAATGTTGAATCATCCTTCTATTCCTTTCACAAACTCTACTTAATCAGAATGTAAATATTTGAAATAGATTTGTAAATATTTCATAAGCATTTATATTTATAAATAAAACTGGCCCACAATTTTCCTTTCTTGTGTTCTTCTTGTCTTATTTGGATATTTAAGTTATACTATCATTATTTTAAAAAGACAGCTTTTCCCCAGTTTCTATCCTCTTAGACAGTTTGCACAATATTAGGATTATTTACTTCTTGGAGTTCTACATGCAAAAAACCATTTAAGCCTTATATTTTTGGGAGAAGAAGTCTCTTAACTATCAGTTTAAATTCTTTATAATTGTTATTTTACTGCAGTTTTCTATATCTTTTGAAGTAGTTATGGCAAATTATATTTGCCCAGAAAGTTACCCATGTGTCCTCCTAATCCAAATTTTAACATAAAAATTTTCAGAGTATAGGTTTTTGATGTTTATTATCAATTTCATATCAGGAGTTATATTTCCATTTCATTCAAAATATTATTTGTGGGTCTTATTTTGAAAAAAAAAAAGCCTTACTAGGGTTTTATCTATATCACTTTTTTAATCCTCCAAATGACATTCTATTTCATTTGTCTTCCTTTGTTTCCTTCCTTCTACTTTTCCAAAGGTTTCTTTAGGATTTTTTTTCTAGCTTCTTGAGTAGGATATATATAGTAGACAACAATAATTGCTTACACAATATTTATAATATTCTCCCTTGTTCCGTACTAACATACCCTTATTTGGTTTGGGAAGGCAATACACCATGCTAAAATAAAAAAAAACACTATACTTCCCTGGCTCCCTTGCAGCTAGGAACTGCCAAATGACACAGTTCTAACCAATGACATATAAGTGAAAGTTATTACATAGGGCTTCCAAGAAAGCTCTCTAATTAAAGGTAGCCAACTCACTTGGCACATGCCTTTTTCAAAACCTGTCCTTTCTCCATCATGCTTGGAATGTGAATGCTAAACTGGAAGTAAAGCAGCCATTTTGCAACCATGAGGCAGCAAGCATGAGTATGAAAATTATGTTTAGATGACTGGATGTTAAAAGAGCCCAGGACCCTGATGGCATAATGGAGAATCCATATTTGCCTTGGACTACCTCGAAACTTCTTGTTATATGGCAAATGTTAAACCCCTAGGTCATTAAAGCCATGGTCATTTAGATTATCTTTTAAATATAGCCAAATAAAATTTATAGTAATACCTATTCAACATGTTATCCTTTTCTTTTTGGTAGGAATTGAGGGCAGATGGGGTCTCGCTCTGTTGCCCAACCTGGAGTTCAGTGGCATGATCACAGCACACTGTAGCCTCAGCCTCCCAGACTCAAGATATCCTCCCACCTCAGCCTACTGAGTAGCTGGGACTACAGGCCCGCGTCACTACACCCGGATAATTTTTGTATTTTTTGTGGAGGCAGGGTGTCGCCATGTTGCTCAGGCTGGTCTCAAATTTCTGAGCTCAAGTGATCCACACCTTGGCCTCCTAAAGTGCTTGGATTATAGCTATGATCCACCATGCCTGACCTCAACTTATTTTTCATATGTTAAATGTTTCATAAATGCATTTAAGGCCATAAATTTTCCTCAAAGAATAGCTTTAGTTGCATGTAGTTAAGAGATCAGTTGTGCTGGTCCAGATCAGAAATACTACCTAGCCAACCCAAAGAATTGTGATATAAATAAAAATAGCTATGGTTTAAGTCTCTAAATTTTGGGGTGGTTTATTATATAGTAAAAGCTAACTGATACAGCAGTTGCTTTCAAATGTGGGGTGGTGCCATAAGAAAAATTATAACATGTGGTACTGGCTTTGAAATAATGGCTTTTCTAGTGGTGAGAAAAGCAGTAAGAAAACAGTTTGCCGGAGAAATGGAGAAGAAACTGCTATAGCAGGCTGGCAAAATGATGGCTCGTGTTGGGTTGAGACAGAACAACTGGTGAAACTAAAGCTTGCAGTAACTTAAGAGATTTTCTTTTTTTTTCTGAGTACATTTATTCATTTTTTTTTATTATACTTTAAGTTCTAGGGTACATGTGCACAACGTGCAGGTTCGTTACATATGTATACATGTGCCCTGTTGGTGTGCTGCACCCATTAACTCATCATTTACATTAGGTATATCTCCTAATGCTATCCCTCTCCCCTCCCCACACCCTACAACAGGGCCCAGTGTGTGATGTTCCCCTTCCTGTGTCCAAGTGTTCTCATTGTTCAATTCCCACCTATGAGCGAGAATATGCGGTGTTTGGTTTTTTGTCCTTGCGATAGTTTGCTGAGAAGGATGGTTTCCCGCTTCATCCATGTCCCTACAAAGGACATAAACTCATCCTTTTTTATGGCTGCATAGTATTCCATGGTGTATATGTGCCACATTTTCTTAATCCAGTCTATCATTGTTGGACATTTGGGTTGGTTCCAAGTCTTTGCTATTGTGAATAGTGTTGCAGTAAACATATGTGTGCATGTGTCTTTATAGCAGCATGATTTATCATCCTTTGGGTATATACCGAGTAATGGGATGGCTGGGTGAAATAGTATTTCTAATTCTAGATCCTTGAGTAATTGCCACACTGTCTTCCACAATGGTTGAACTAGTTTACAATCCCACCAACAGTGTAAAAGTGTTCCTATTTCTCCACATCCTCTCTAGCACCTGTTGTTTCTTGACTTTTTAATGATCGCCATTCTAACTGGTGTGAGATGGTATCTCATTGCGGTTTTGATTTGCATTTCTCTGATGGCCAGTGATGATGAGCATTTTTTCATTTGTCTTTTGGCTGCATAAATGTCTTCTTTTGAGAAGTGTCTGTTCATATCCTTTGCCCACTTTTTGATGGGGTTGTTTGTTTTTTTCTTGTAAATTTGTTTGAGTTCTTTGTAGATTCTGGATATTAGCCCTTTGTCAGATGAGTAAATTGCAAAAATTTTCTCCCATTCTGTAGATTGCCTGTTCACTCTGATGGTAGTTTCTTTTGCTGTGAAGAAGCTCTTTAGTTTAATTAGATCCCATTTGTCAATTTTGGCTTTTGTTGCCACTGCTTTTGGTGTTTTAGACATGAAGTCCTTACCCAGGCCTATGTCCTGAATGGTATTGCCTAGGTTTTCTTCTAGGGTTTTTATGGTTTTAGGTCTAACATTTAAGTCTTTAATCCATCTTGAATTAATTTTTGTATAAGGTGTAAGGAGGGGATCCAGTTTCAGCTTTCTACATACGGCTAGCCAGTTTTCCCAAAACCATTTATTGCATAGGGAATACTTTCCCCATTTCTGGTTTTTGTCAGTTTTGACAAAGATCAGATGGTTGTAGACGTGTGGTATTATTTCTGAGGGCTCTGTTTTGTTCCATTGGTCTATATCTCTGTTTTGGTACCAGTACCATGCTGTTTTGGTTACTGTCGCCTTGTAGTACAGTTTGAAGTCAGGTAGCGTGATGCCTCCAGCTTTGTTCTTTTGGCTTAGGATTGTCTTGGCAATGTGGGCTCTTTTTTGGTTCCATATGAACTTTAAAGTAGTTTTTTCCAATTCTGTGAAGAAAGTCCTTGGTAGCTTGATGGGGATGGCCTGAATCTATAAATTACCTTGGGCAGTATGGCCAGTTTCATGATATTGATTCTTCCTACCCATAAGCATGGAAGGTCCTTCCATTTGTTTGTGTCCTCTTTTATTTCGTTGAGCAGTGGTTTGTAGTTCTCCTTGAAGAGGTCCTTCACATCCCCTGTAAGTTGGATTCCTAGGTATTTTATTCTCTTTGAAGCAATTGTGAATGGGAGTTCACTGATGATTTGCCTCTCTGTTTGTCTGTTATTGCTGTATAAGAATGCTTGTGATTTTTGCACATTGATTTTGTATCCTAAGACTTTGCTAAAGTTGCTTATCAGCTTAAGGAGATTTTGGGCTGAGACGATGGGGTTTTCTACATATACAATCATGTCATCTGCAAACAGGGACAATTTGACTTCCTCTTTTCCTAATTGAATACCCTTTATTTCTTTCTCCTGCCTGATTGCCCTGGCCAGAACTTCCAACACTATCTTGAATAGGAGTGGTGAGAGAGGGCATCCCTGTCTTGTGCCAGTTTTCAAAAGGAATGCTTCCAGTTTTTGCCCATTCAGTATGATATTGGCTGTGGGTTTGTCATAAATAGCTCTTATTATTTTGAGATACATCCAATCAATACCTAAATTACTGAGAGTTTTTAGCATGAAGGGCTGTAGAATTTTGTCAAAGGCCTTTTCTGCATCTATTGAGATAATCATGTGGTTTTTGTCTTTGGTTCTGTTAATAGGCTGGATTACGTTTATTGATTTGCGTATGTTGAACCAGCCTTGCATCTCAGGGATGAAGCCCACTTGATCATGGTGGATAAGCTTTTTGATGTGCTGCTGGATTCAGTTTGCCAGTATTTTATTGAGGATTTTTACATCAATGTTCATCAAGGATAGTGGTCTAAAATTCTCTTTTTTGTTGTGTCTCTGCCAGGCTTTGGTATCAGGATGATGCTGGCCTCATAAAATGAGTTAGGGAGGATTCCCTCTTTTTCTATTGATTGGAATGGTACCAGCTCCTCCTTGTACCTCTGGTAGAATTCGGCTGTGAATCCGTCTGGTCCTGGACTTTTTTTGGTTGGTAGGCTATTAATTATTGCCTCAATTTCAGAGCCTGTTATTGGTCTATTCAGGGATTCAACTTCTGCCTGGTTTAGTCTTGGAAGGGTGTATGTGTCCAGGAATTTATCCATTTCTTCTAGATTTTCTAGTTTATTTGTGTAGAGGTGTTTATAGTATTCTCTGATGATAGTTTGTATTTCTGTGGGATCGGTGGTGATATCCCCTTTATCATTTTTTATTGTGTCTATTTGATTCTTCTCTCTTTTCTTCTTTATTAGTCTCGCTAGCGGTCTATCAATTTTGCTGATCTTTTCAAAAAACCAGCTCCTGAGATTTTCAAAAAGAAAAGACCCTAGTGAACTCCTAGTTGCAGCTAAGTAGATCTCCAGACAGAATTTCGAAAGTGTCATTTAGGAGCTCTTAACTGCATATGCTAAAGTATGGCAAGACAAAGGTGAGCTAAAGAAGGAAATGTTCAGTTTGCAACCAGAATTTAGATGGAATATAGAAGGTCCAGGATTTGCGGTGTTGGAAAATAAAACTGTACCTCGTCTCCAGTCTCCCCATATTTGACAACCTTTGAGTAAAATATTCTCAGAGTAAAAGGAGGCCTTAAAAGAGCAAATTAAGAGTTGGGTTGTATGACCATTTGTTAAGGCCTCTGAAGGATTTAAGAAAGTGCCTAGCACACCTTATCTTGTCAAAAAAGCTCCTAAGAATCTTAAGGGCCTGACAGAAGCCTAATCCCAAGTCACCGAATAACTCTAGAGAGAAAAAAAAAAATTGTGGGTGTAGTTTTTATACAATGAGTTGGGCTATATCCTATTACATAGAAAGCCCACAATATTTTAAAGAAAATCATCCCAACAAAACACCATCAGCTTGGACTGGAAGGGACTAAAATTGATTAAGCCACAAAGAGGTCTCTGGGCCCTCAACTATGGAAAGAAAGACAGATGAGAGAGGGACTCAGCTGCACTATTTCTTATGGAAAAGGAAAGGCTTTTTAAGGGGGAGAACCAAGATACTAGAGAATGGAGTCAAGAGCCTTGGAGAACAACAAACTGGGAAGACACCCCAGAGAGCAGAAGCAATGGTCCTAGATTAGATGACCTGGCAACATTTGCCCCAGGGGAATTTTGATTTGTTACAGACCAGTAACTGCTATGTGCCTTTTGTTTTTCTCCTTTTTGAAGAGAAATGTCTATTCCAGTTATCCTGCCCGTCTCACCACTATATGATGGAGGTGTAGGGAGCAGGTGACTTGTCATTTTAAATTCTGGATCAAGAGCTGCCGTACCCAAGGAGCTACAGCTGAGGACCCTCTTTCATATCTGAATGTGATAAAATCATGAGATCATAGACTTCCAACCTGATGCTATAAATAAGACAGAGAGCTTAGGATAAGGATGAGCATATTTTGCATGCATGAGAAATGAGGCCAAAGAGCAGACTCTGATAGATTCCAAAAACACCCATAAATTATTTTACTTCTGTCAAGATGTGGAGTCTATTTCTCTCCCCATTGAATCCAGGCTTGGCAATGTGACATGCTTTGACTAACAGGACATTAGCACATATAACATAAGCAGAGGCTTAAAAAGTTTTTGGACAGTTAAATGCTTCTCTCTTGCTGCATTTGGAAACCTGGGTCTACCATGTGAATACCCCAAGGTAGCCTGCTGGAAGATGAGAAGCAATTTGGAAGAGAACTAAGACATCCAAGGATCAGACAGTCAACTTCCAGACATGTGAGTGAGGCTATCCTAGATCATCTAGTCGCCGGCTGACCATAGAGGCATGATAGAGTCCAATCAAGATCTGCTGAGCTGGCCCAGATTTAAAAATTGCCCAACCAACCCAAAGAATTGGAAGCTAAATAAGATAATGTTTATTTTGGGCCACTGAGTTTAGTAATGTAGCCTAACCCTCTGGGTACAATTGATGACTATAGTTTTTTCTTAAAAAATCTATAATTATTATCTTCCTGACTCTGAATATGGCTTTAACATTTTCCCCCAAAAAATCTGCACCATCTTGCTATTGTTGCCTAGTCTTCATTTTAATCATGTTTTTCAAACCATACACACTTATGAATTTTTTGCATAGCTAACAAATAAATATAAATATATTTTATCAATTTCTATGTTTACCATTGCCTCTTACATTGTACATATTTTCTCACTGTTTAATTTTTTCTTTCCAAAACATATCCTTTATGGGAACAATAGACACTGGTGACTCCAAAAGGAGGGGGAGGGGCAAGGGCTGAAAAACCTCCTATTGGATACAGTGTTTCCTATCTGTGGGTGATGGGATCAATAGAAGCCCAAACCTTAGCATCTCACAATATATTCTTGTAATTTGCACGTGTACCCACTGAATCTAAAATAGAAATGGGAATTAAAAAGAAACAAACACTCAAAATATATCCTTTAATAGTTATTTCAGTGAGCATCTTTGTATTTATATTCTTGGTCTTTGTTTTGCTCTCATTCTCCTGGGATAGTTTATCTAGGTATAGTATTTTAGGGTCAACACAGAAAAGTTACTCCTCTGTCTTCTTACCTCTCTTGTTGCTGATGAAATACCTGTCAGTCTGTCATTTATTTATACATAACTTGTATTTTTATTTTGGATTTTTAAGTTGCTCTTTTTTCTCTTTTCTGAAGAGAAATAAAAAGCAGTTTCTGCAGTTTCACTATGTCTAATTGCGGGTTAACTTTTGTTTAGCTTTCAAAGTATTAGGAGACACTTTTGTTCTGAGAACTCATGTTGTTACTCAATTCTGGAAAATTATTAATCATTTATTTAAATATTGCTTCACTTCCATTCCCTTTTTAAATCTCTTTCTGTAGCTTTTATTAAATAATGTTGAAGCCTGTCATTTACCTTCCATACCTTTAAACCGTTCTTTCATGTTTTTGACATCTTTATATTTCTGTGCCGCAGCCAGGCTAAACTTCTCCGTACTATTTTCCAATCTGTTAACTCATGCTTCAATGGTAACCAGTCTCCAGTGTATCCCATCTATTGCATCTTATTTCAATAACTATATTTTTCATTTATATATGTTTTTATATATACCTGATCTCATTGTTTATTATTTTTTTTAAGAGATGAGGCCTCATCCTGTCACCCAGGCTGGAGCATGAGCCTGTAGTTCTAGCTACTCAGGAGGTTGAGGTGGGAGGTTTGCTTAAGCCCAGGAGTTGGAGGCTACAGTGAGTTATGATTGTGCTACTCTGCTCTAGCCTTGGTGATAGAGTGAGACCCTGTCCTTAAAAAAATAAATACAAGAAATTAAAAAAATAAAAACAAAATTAAAATTTTTAAAAAGGAGAAGGAGATCATCTGTGAATGCCAACCATTCCTAACTGGTGCCCCAGAAGCATCATCACTTTGCCAAAGCCTCTCACTCCAAAAGACAAGCATGGTAACCAAAGCAAATAGACCCCGATCCTGCTTTTTGCCACCACTACCTGCCCTAGAGATTTGGGACCTTCTGCTTTTACACCAAAGCTTTCACTGATCAAGCCACCTAGAGCAGAGGACTTTGTCAGGAATTTTAAAGACTAATATAATCTTTTCCACTCATTCGAGTGTAAACATTTCAGGTAGAAAGAGTGAGATGAAAGAGGAAACAGTGAATACTGCAATTTGTTTATATCTCAAAACTGCAAGTCTATTCTTTCCAGAACAGAACTTGGTACACTGGGGCCTGGGCACCTGAGTCCCCAGTGTTTGTGATGTTATCCTTACTCAGTTACTGGAAATATAAAGGGACAACACCTAGTTTGGAATCAACAAATGGAGAATCTATGACACTTCAGTAGTTTTTCTTCCTCTTTACCTGGAAAGGAACGCTTTGTTGCCTGTGAGTGTGGAAGGAGAAAGTTGGTTCCCAATTGGAACATTTTCCTCTGTAACACACCACTACAACCCTCTCGTTTGTGCATACACTGGGAACTGCCCAGAATTGGTCTCACCAGGGTACCAGGTTGAATGAGGCACATAAATCTCAATGCTAACCACCTAACAACAGGGGTTATTTCACATGTGTGCTTCTTTTTGGTTTTGCTTTTGCCAAGTCAACCCTAACACAGCCAGTTTTCCATTTAACTATATTATCCATTCAAATATTTATTGAGTACCTCTTAATAATAACAGCCTTTATTTAATGGGGACCTTCTTTATGTATTACAGTGCATTTTATATACGTTCCTAATCTTCACATCAGCTACTCATACAAACCAGGGCAATGTTATCTTCATTTTTCAATATAGGAAACAGGCTCAGAGAAGTTCAGTGATTTCTCAAAGTGTTACACAGGCTGGACTTGAATTCACATATGACTCCCAAACCCAAATTGTTTCCATATTGCAAACTGAGGACACCTGATCTTTGGTATAAAAAAAAATTGTGCAAAATTGACAAATAGGATCTAATTAAACTAAAGAGTTTCTGCACAGCAAAAGAAACTACCATCAGAGTGAACAAGCAACCTACAAAATGGGATAAAATTTTCGCAACCTACTCATCTGACAAAGGGCTAATATCCAGAATCTACAATGAACTCAAACAAATTTACAAGAAAAAAACAAACAACCCCATCAAAAAGTGGGCGAAGGACATGAACAGACATTTCTCAAAAGAAGACATTTATGCAGCCAAAAAACACATGAGAAAATGCTCACCATCACTGGCCATCAGAGAAATGCAAATCAAAACCA